>NC_000015.10:36913237-37216267 GCF_000001405.40 Homo sapiens
GTGATGTTTTCAAGTTAATCCATAGATGTGGTTGCAGATTATATTTTTATATTTTAAAAAATTAAAAGTGAAATTTGGACACACATTTTGGACCTGCATAACATTGATACTTAGTTTGATTCTCCATTAAACAAGCATAGATTTTGGCCTTTAGGAAACAGTTAACAGCCTCTACTTAAACAGGTATTCCACTTCAATTAATAGCCACTCATATATCTGTGACTTAAGACATTCATTAGCAATACCAATGAAACAAAGCTTTTACATCACCTACTGGCCGTTTCCAAATAACAGAATGTTAAAGCAACTATTTCCTTAAAGTCCTATGGGAAAGATTATAGAACAGAGTAAAAAAAATAATTTTAAAAACCTCAAAACTTATTTCTTACAATATGCCTACATGCACATACATTGAATTTACACACATATGCACCTATTTTTCACAAATGTGTCTTGTGACCTTAAATCCCACTTGACTTCACACACTCAGGGGGAGAAAAAAAAAAGCTTAAGGAGATTTTTTTCCTCCTAAGCACACAGGTCAGAAGGAAAAAAATACACCCTGGGGAAAAGAACTCAGACCATGATACACAACCCAGCTGAGGTCATGGAAGAGAAGCTCTTGGAACTGAGCTGGGATCCGCCATCTTGTTTTGCTTTGCCCCAAGAATCAAACTAAACTGATATCATATTGTGTCCACTTGCTGCCACTTAAAGTTGTTCTTCCTATGAAGAGCTAGGAATGAGCCATAGTTTCTTGGCCACTTCCTTTCTTCCTGCCATCCTCACCTCCAAGGTCAAAGCGATTGGTGGTATGGTGGGATCTGAGGGGTTGGCAACCTTGCAGCTGTGGCCCCAATTCTACTTATCAATATAAATTTACACCCCACTGTTGGTCTCTGAGCAGCACTAGCCACCAACAGTACTGAAAATGATCTTTCTGAGGATGTACATGTGTGGTTATGAACTGGACAAAGGAAGATGGAGAAGCGTAAGAATCCAAGGAGAACACAGATGATAATAAGAAAACTCTTGTGCCAGAGTATTCAAGACACATCTCTGCTGTAGGCAAATATAAATCGGACTGAACTTTGGCATACTGCAAATATGTCCCATGACATGCATAATATACTTTTCAAAAATGTTAATGCAACAACTGGTATGTGATTAATTGCTACGTGAAAGATTAAATACTGAGGTCTAGAAGAGAGTTGGGTAGTTTTTGCATTTTCAAATATGGACAGGTTCTGAAGGGAGGTCTCAGTTTCTGAGTTTCCCATTTGAAAAGTGCTCCCTCTGGCAGTAAAAACTGATGTGAAGGTTAGTAGAGGATGGGGGAAAGTGACTTGATTCTGAGAGGCCTGGAGAATAAAACCAAAAGCTGAAGTGGAGCCGAGAGGGTGTGGCTTTCATCCCTGGGAGGGCTCTGGCTGATGGGAATAGAAATTGCTATCAGTGGCTTGAGGGTAGTAAGATTATATGGCCCTCAATTCCCAAACGTGACAGAGTCATAAGAAACCTTAACCTCTATTTTTTTTTTCCAACTTTCCTCAACCGCAGCAACACACTCTTTCGCAGAAGGCTAGCCAATTAACCAAGCATTAAAAAACCCCACAAATCTATACCAATAGCTTTGCAGGACAAAAAGAAAGACGTGTGAAGTCAACACGTGTTGTTATAAACAACGTGAGCCAGGATGTTCAGGAGCCAAATAAATTGAAATAGGCTATGACTGAAATAAACAAACAAACAAATAATCAGAAGAAATGAAATCTCTCTCTCCTTTCCTCAAGTATCCTGTGTATGTTCTTTTGCATTTTAATTCTCAGCAACAGGCCTTCAGCTTCTCCGTGACTGGTGCAAATCTGATAAGGGGTTGGCACAAATATACTGAGCCTAGTTTACAATTTGTTTTGCAACTTCCCTTCCCAGATAAACATAGTCCAAGTACAACTTCTGGGAAAAAAAAAAAAAAAAGTTGTGTTTACTTGTCCTGTTATTAAGATTTTTATTTTTTTCTCCTGAATGTTCCCTCAGGATGCTGGCTTGAAACCTAGAAAAAGCTTGGATTTCAGTTTCAGTCTCCAAGGTATTCTACTGTTCAGCTGGGCTGTGTGCTAGGAGGGAAGCTCTCTACCTTGCTGATTTAATTAACAGGATTCTTTTCATTATTATGGGGATTTAGTTTCTTCTTGCCTTTCAGTGTTTGGGAAACACTGATTTATGTTTTATATTTTGAAGGAAAATTTATTGTTCTTTGACAGCTGAGGCTCTGTAAATCCCTGGCACCAAAAGGACCCCAGGGAGGTGTCACAGTTGCCTTGCCCTGCCCACCTATATGCTGTCATCTCAAGGGCCCCCTCCAGAAGTAAGGAGAATCGTCAGCTGCTCAGTGCCCAACCCACTCCTCCTCCCACTGATCATTATGCCAGCAGGGGTTGGCCCATTCCCATTTATGAATGGTGGTATCACGGATTCATTTAAGTGAAGCAAACAGTCCATGAATCTGACCTGGATTTAGTCTCTTGACTAAATAGGGCTCATTGAGTCAAGTGGAAGTATGTGCTGTACTTACTATGATAACCATGGCTGAACCAAAATTCAGGGCAAATGTTGTAAAGATGAGGATGCTTAGGAGGACAGCAAAACAAAATATTTAAAGTTAGCACTATAGAAAATCTGGCATAGATGGTTGTCAAGCTCTATTGGGTTATCAGTCTTCTAAACTACACAGTCCATCAAATTCTGACTTGGAGAAAAAGTGAAACATGTAGTGAAAACTCTGGTAGCTAATGTATATTTTAGGTGAAAAATTTCAGGTGTCAGTTAATGCTCATAATTTTATTACATTAAAGAAGTTTCCTTTTCTTCTTCTTCTTTTTTTTTTGTGGTAAGAGACAGGGTCTCAGGCTGGGCGCAGTGGCTCACGCCTGTAATCCTCGCACTTCGGAAGGCAAAGGTGTGTGGATCACGAGGTCAGGAGATTGAGACCATCCTGGCTAAAACGGTGAAACCCTGTCTCTACTAAAAATACAAAAAATTAGCTGGGCGTGGTGGCGGGCGCCTGCAGTCCCAACTACGCAGGAGGCTGAGGCAAGAGAATGGTGTGAACCCGGTAGGCAGAGCTTGCAGTGAGCTGAGACCGCACCGCTGCACTCCAGCCTGGGTGATGGAGCGAGACTCCATCTCAATTAAAAAAAAAAAAAAAAAAAGAGACAGGGTCTCACTTTTTTGCCCAGGCTGAAGTGCAGTGGTGTGATCATAGCTCACTGTATCCTCAAACTTCTGGGCTCAAGCAATCCTCCTGTCTCAGCCTCCCAAGTACCTAGAACTACAGGTGTGCACCACCACACCTGGCTACTTTTTAAATTTTTTTGTAGAGATGGTAGCTTGCTATGTTGCCCAGGCTGATCTCAAACTCCTGGCCTCAAGCAATCCTCCCACTTCAGCCTCTCAAACTGTTGAGATTATAGGTGTAAGCCACTGCGCACAGCCAACAAAATTTCCTTTTTTAAGGGGGCTTCATAATTCATAACTTGCTTTCATCCATATTATTATAATTAACATTTATTGAGCTAGACACTAAACTGAATGCATACATGTATCCTCTTATGAAATTCTCACAAAAACCCTATGGAGTGGATAACATTATCGGCATCCCCATTTTCTGGTTGGGGAAACTGAGAGTTAGCAAAATCTGATAATATGCCTAAATTCACCAGTTAGTAAGTGGCAGAAGTGGCAGTCAGATACACTCATGCACACATATGCGCACACACACATACACGCATGCGTGCAAATGATTGGGGGCTAGGAAATTAGGAATATTTAGGGTTGTTTTTCCTGTCTTGTCAGGAGAGGCCTGCAGCTGAAAGACCTTCTGGGAACCAACAGCAACCGGATCACAAGCTATCTTAAACCCAACAGACTCTTTATCCGCTATTTCCCAGTCAGATAGAGAAATTGAACCAATTATTAGAGCAGACACATAAAATGGAGCCTTGGAAATTACTTCATCTCTAGAAAAGTTATAGACCAGAACTTTTCACTTATCTAAATTTGAAAGCCAGTAGGTTCTAAGGAAGAATATAGAAAAACATAGAATGTGCATGGAATTCTGTAGTGGTTGGCATTTTAAAGTCTTCAAAATTAAGAGAAATTAGTGTGGGAATGTGGTCCAGCTGGTGAGGAAAAAAATAAACGAAAGTAAGCCTTTACTCTGAACCTGATTCAACAGGCCCATGCTAATTTTCTCATTCATCAGTTCTAAGGGTTATACATGAATAGTGCTTTTGAAATTTGAATTATCTTTGTTTATTCAGCCTGTCCATCAGGATCCTTAAATGCAGACTGTAACTGTCCTAAAAATTCCGACTTCTTGAATTGTCCTACAAAGGAAATCCTAAACAGATTTTTATCTCCAATCATACTCTAGGGAAACACCTGGGTAAAATGTCACCTAAGGGCACTAACTCATCATTGTACTGAACACAACCTAAAAGAGTTTCAGGGTCAATGACAGAGGGAAGCAAGAGAACACTTGAAGCAAATTAACACAATGGTGAGAAGTCCATACCAGAGACATGAGTAGGAATTCTTTACACACAGAGAGAATTTCAAAATGGTAGCCTCGCTTTGCTTATCTCATCTCTATTTCACCTAAAAGAAAATTTTCCATTATCTTCCTTCAAATGGTCTTCTGGTTCCCCTGGTTCATCTCCTTTCTCTTATTAATAATCTTTGATTGCCTGCAGAAATTCTAGAAGTCACAATTCTTGATCCCCTTTAACAAATATTTATTCAGTGTCTGCTGCCTACTGGGCATTGCATCAAGGACCTTATCAGGAAGTAAATAGAGAAGAGACTGTATAACAAGCCACATTTGTCAAATAAAAAAAGCACTAAGATTGGGATTAATTTCACATCTTAGGGATCTCTGAATTTAATTAAAGAAACAAGACATACAGCCCTCTATCCATTAAGTTTTGTGTGATGAAAGAGGCAGCACAATTTAATGAAGACTATGCGATTTGGAAATCTGGGTTTGAACTCTGGCTATATCTCTTACTGAGTGATTTTGGACAAGTTCTTTAACTTTTCTGTGGCTTAATCTCCTCAAATGTAAAATGAGAATAAATTATATAGTCTACTTCAAAGACTTAACCTGAAGATGCAATGTGAAGTCCAATTTGTATTGTAAAGACATCAGAACAGTAGGTGAGAATTACAAGGAAACATATTTAAAAAATTCTACAAATAAATGTTAATGCTTACAATCCTGTAGACACTGCAAGGCATACATGGATGAAGAAGATTTAGTCTTGCTCTCAGAAAGGTTGGAGTTTAGCGGTAAAGCAATAACCATGCAATAAGATGAAAGAGTCTCAATGCCAGAAGAGTGGCCATGGGTGTGCAGAAAAGGTGGAGATAACCTGGATGAGAGCGGGAGGAGGAGAGGAAGCTTTGGGCCCTTCCTTGAAGGATTCTGACAGGAGGGAATGGGAAGGACAGAAGGAGAGAGAACATACCAGATAGAGAAAACTACTTAAGTAAATGCACAGATAGAGCAAGTACTCCTAGTCATAAGCTTAGTAGAAAAGGTACCGGACTGAAGTTAGGTGGTAAGTTTGAATTCTGCTGGTGCAATTTCTCAGCTACATGACCTCTCTGACTCACCATTTCTCATCTGTAAAATGGAGATGATACCTACCTCGTAATTGTAAAGATTAAAGATTTTAGGCCAGGCACATTGGCTCATGCCTGTAATTCCACCACTTTGGGAGGCCTAGAGGCAGGAGGATTGCTTGAGTTTAGGAGTTTGAGTCCCAGCTACTCTGCAGACTGAGGTGGGAAAAATCACGTGATCCTAGGAGTTTGAGGCTGCAGTGAGCTATGACCATGCCACTGTAGTCCAGCCAAGGTAACAGAGGGAGACTCTGTCTCCAAAAATAAATAAATAAATAAAGATTTATCCAAATAATGGGCATATTTGGATAAATTTTTGGACAAATACTTGTACAAATATTATCAATGTTTTATGTACTTAAGAAATTTTGGAGGGACAGGCACGGTGGGTCACACCTGTAACCCCAGCACTTTGGGAGACCAAGTTGGGTGGATCACCTGAGGTCAGGAGTTTGAGACCAGCCTGACCAACATGGAGAAACCCTGTCTCTACCAAAAATACAAAATTAGCTGGGCGTGGTGGCACATGCCTGTAATCCCAGCTACTCAGGAGGCTGAGGCAGGAGAATCTGTTGAACCCGGGAGGCAGAAGTTGTGGGAGTCGAGATTGCGCCACTGCACTCTAGCCTGGGCAACAAGAGTGAAACTCCGTCTCAAAAAAAAAAAAAAAAATTGGAAACAGTAATTTAAAAAATCCTCAATATTACCAAAAGAATTCTGATTAGTGGCTAGTTTATGTGTACAGTGGTCCAGTCATAGCACTAATTTCTATAATCACCTAAACATTGGAGGATGAACATTAAAATTTGTGTTATTGACTTGCACTTGGTATTTTATCTACAATGACCCATTATTAGAATGTAGATGAAATAGAGCAAGTAATAAGTGAGATAGCCTGAATTTTAAGCTATCTTGCTAGATTTTGTCTTTCAGAGTATCATTTTCTCCTTCCACTGACATGGATGAGCATAAACACAATAGGTGGATCTTTATTTAGAGCTCACAAATTATTCGTCCAAATATTTAGGCACGTAAGAACAACATACCCTTCTAGTTATTGTTCCTTGAAGTCAAGGATGAAGGAAGTTAAACTACATAGTCATTGGAGCATGGATACTGATGCTGGAATAAGAAAAACAAGAAGAAATGGAGGCTGGAGATTAAAGTCCCAGCAACACTTAGCAACCTATACTGCTTTTATTTATTTATTTATTTATTTATTTATTTATTTATTTATTTTTATTTTGACAGAGTTTCACTCTTGTTGCCCAGGCTGGAGTACAATGGCTCAATCTTGGCTCACCGCAACCTCCACCTCCCGGGTTCAAGCGATTCTCCTGCCTCAGTCTCCCTAGTAGCTGGGATTACAGGCATGCGCCACCACGCCCGGCTAGTTTTGTATTTTTAGTAGACAGGGTTTCTCCACATTGGTCAGGTTGGTCTCGAACTCCCGACCTCAGGTGATCCACCCGCCTCGGCCTCCCAAAGTGCTGGGATTACAGGCGTGAGCCACGGCGCCCGGTCTATACTGATCTTCAGGTACCACCTTTTTCTTTTTATAAAAGAATTCTTAGAGATCTTAGAAGGCTAAAGGGGAGAATGATGCAGAACCTGTTTCACTGATAAATAAAAACAGGTCTGCTAAAAATCCTTTAAGTTGAGCCCACATGGGATGATGACTTACGGATCACAAATGTGGGAAAATGGACCTCCATGCTTCCTTTGGCAGATAACAATCTCTTATTTCTCATTTTCACCAAATGAAGACAGTAGGAATACAGTCTTGACTTAGTGTATGAGAACTATACTCTCTGAATCACCTGTGTTCTGAGGATAAAACAATAAAAAGTTATAAAGTAATCAAGTCCTTAAATTTAAAAAGAAAAACTACTATGGAAGTCATGTGGAATCTGTTGTTCTACATCCTTTACCTAGACTGGAACTGACCAGTCTGACAAATATGGGTGGAAGCTGAAATTTAACCAGCGCTCACGGCCGGGAGGTAACAGATCTTGTTTTCTATTGGTAAAAGCACACCCCAAAGGTTTCAGAAGGGCCAGGAAAAAACAAAAACAAAAACAAAAACAAAAAAAAACCTCTGTTGTTCATTTTTAACCTCGAAGAGCCAAATAAATCTAGTAAATTCTCCATTTGTTAATCAAACATGGCATATAAAGCTTTCTAGGATGCAGCCCCTGTAGAATAAAGCTGCCAAACCACCTTGGATAAATTTTTAATGAGATGTTTGCCTTGATGATAGGTATCACCAAGAAAAGGTATCTTGTGATGCCTGTGAAATATGTAGGATTGACCAGAGGCAGCCCATGTGACCCTGAGGATTACATCAATCACAGGACCAAAAGAAGCAGCATGGAAAAGAAAATGCGAAATGATCAGTTCCAATAGAACATGAAGCATAAACATACATTCTGTTCAAGGGACAGCCACCCAGCTTGTGTTAGAAGTCATTAACTATACTCAGACTCAGTTTTCCTGATACCGTATGCTATTTCATGTGGTTTGAAATAATTTCAAGGAAGTGATCTTCCTAGCATTTTCAAGGAAAAACACCAAAGCGCTTAGTAGTCTCTGATTTTAACTTTGGGAGTTGAAGGTTGCTTTCTGCCTCACTGTCGGTCTGTCTTCTCCTGATCCAAAGTGGGAAAGAATTTGGTTCACCCAAAGTGTGCCCCCACCTTTTGTGTTGTTCCCAGAGCTTGTGTTTCAGCACCACTTAGCATAACTCCATACTTAAAACACAGTGTGGAGCCTGATACGCTAGTGACCTCTTGGCATTGTTGAAAAAAAAAAAAATGAAATGTGAGTGGTCCTGTCAAGATGACTACATTTAGATAGTCGGCACTAAAACAACAAGAAACAAAGACTCAAGTGCTGGTTGGAAGGCTCGAGGAAGAGCAGCTATAAAGAGAAACCAAAGGAAGCCAAATGATGATTTAAACATCGACTTAGTTTGCCCTTACGTACGAGGGCTTCCGTGTGGGAAATCTCACCCTCCAAGGTCAGACATGATGAGATATTCCCAGAGTATCCAAGGACTTCCATGTTCACTGATGTGGACTGATATGGAAATGAATATGCTTAAATAACATTTTGGCTTAGGGATATCATTTTTGTCTGGCAAGTTTGCCTTCCCAATCTTAAAAAATTAAACTGAGCTCTTTCCACAGGATAACGCAGCACATAGAAAAGAACTGGAAGGAGTAGAAGGGAGAGCATTGGTCTGTTAGAACCTAAAGGTTTAGTTCCAGTCTGACCCCGAGGAGCTTTGCAACAGTGAACAAGCCCTCAAGCCTGGAAGAGTCTGTGATTCTTCATTTGTAAAAAGGGAAAAACCTTGTTCACTTCACAGAGCTGATGTGAGAATCAAGTGAGACAGCATATATAAAAGTGCCCCGAAAACTGTAAAGGGCTATAAAATATAAGATAGTGTGGTAAAGAGGTATTTTTATACAGAATCAAAAGGTTTTTTTGTGTGTGTGTTTGTTTGTTTTCACCTCATTTTACGTTTTAACTACTAAGATCCTTTTTTTTTTTAAATGTTACATTTTACGGGAGTTCATCTAAAAGGGCAGAAACAAACCAACAAAAAGTCCTTGAGGAGTATCTACCTCTACTCCTGTTTTCTGTATGAAATTCTGTAAGTCCCTTTGGAAACCTCAGTAACTTTCTTTCTTTCTTTTTTTTTTTTTTTTTGTGATGGAGTTTTGCTCTTTCTTGCCCAAGCTGGAGTGCAGTGGTGTGATTTCAGCACACTGCAACCTCCGCCTCCCGGGTTCAGGCGATTCTCCTGCCTCAGCTTCCCGAGTAGCTGGCGCATGCCACCACACCCGCCTAATATTTGTATTTTTTTTTTTTTTAGAGATGGGGTTTCACCATGTTGATCAGGCTGCTCTCGAACTCCTGACCTTGTGATCTGCCTGCCTTGGCCTCCCAAAGTGTTGGGATTGCAGGCATGAGCCACCGCTCCCGGCCAAACATAGTATAACTTTCTACGCAGTGTTTTTAGTTATCTAGAAGAAAGTCTCCTGCCATGTAAGTCTTTAATATAATCTGAAATTAATAATGTTCTCTGGAAACAAACAAAAAAATCTTGCCCACAGACAATATTTATTCTTATGAGTTGTCAATCTCCTTAGCAATAATATGTCACAATTTTGTCTGCTGCAACAGAAGAAAAACAAGCTGCACACACAATACAAAATGCGCTTAATTTCTGGAGGGCACAAAAGGTACTTGCAATGTCACCTGAATTAAGGCCATTGTACAATGAACCAAGGAGGAAGCAATGCAAGTATAGCAGTTTTCCAATGATCTTGATGTTTTCTAATTCTGGCCTACTTTCCCTTATTCTTTCTGATGATATCATCCTGTTCTAAGGTTCTGAGCTTTTTTTTTTTCTTTTTACTTTTTGTCATATATGTTCATTCTGCTAGGAAAACATGGCTTAATGTGTGCATTTGATACCAGGCTTACAGAATGCAAGCTTCCAACCAACTAGTCTATGGCCACCATACATCCTTCAGGAAAAGTCAAGCTATCCCTGATGCCCCATGATTCAAGCTGTGCAATGTCTTCCAAAGCATTCACTCTGAACTGAATGAACACCTCCCAAAATGCATTAATACAGTAATAATCCTCACAGAAACTGGTAGATCACCACTAGCTGAGATTCTTTAGTATGACCAGGAAGCATGTTGATATAGATCATGCGCTCTGCAGAGAAAGAGAGAGAAGAAAACACAAACAAAAGTCTTTCCTCACTGAGTCCTGTCAGTTTCCCCCAGCATGTAAAAGGTCCTGTCCCAAATTCCCTCCCATGCGTTCTAGAGGCTCTCCTTTTGTTCACCTTGACACACTCAAAAGGGAAGCACAAAATACCGTAGCTGTTTTAAACAGCAAGCCATGCCATGTCACCTCCCTCCATACAGGTTTGGCTGAAACATCTGTGGGAAAAGGGGCTGCAGAGAATTCAGTGAAACGTAAGCAATGAGAAAACCTTTCTATCCTCTTCAATTACTAAAAAATGGGAAAGGAGCATCATTTTCAAAGGAACAAATGCTACACAAGACATGCCCTTTAAATCCTTTTTAAGGTTCTGTGACCTGTGAAACTATCTGCAATATCAGCAGGAGAAAGCCCTTTCCAGAACAAATGCCCATGTTTTATGTGTACTGTATTTGCTAATCATTACTTCATAAGCAAGAGTAGATATACAGTGGGCTATAAATAATGGCGGGAATATAAAAGTGAATTGATCTGTCTGGCTATCTAGTAATACTCCTGGCACAAGACCAGTCTTGAATGGCTGCCAACTACCACAGAGCCAGCCAGTGATTTGTCTGGGGGTCCTGCCCTGTCAGGCAGAAAACAGTCTTAAAGCTGAACTCCCACCACTGTGTGCACGGCTGAGATCGCGGTCATGAACATTTCTTGCAGAGTTCCCTTTCACCAAATCAGTCCAAAAACCACTTAAAAATTTTGTCAGAAAAGAAAGCAGAGAAAACAATAGAACCAAACCAAAGTTTAAAATTCATAAAGACCTTAAGAATCCAAGCTGGGGTCATGAGAGAAAAATATGAAATACACATAGGCAGCCAACCTGAATTATAAAGGGCGCCAGTGAGGACTGGCCTGTCGTCCCAAAGGTTATGAGAGTTAACTACATAGACTTGCCGCGAACCTCAAAGCATACGAGGCACCGAACTTGACCATGACTGGCTGTGAGCTTACGGGAGCGGACCTGCTGGGACTTTCCCATGGAATCAATCCCTGCACAATTCTGGACATTTTAGCATCTAGGCCCCACAAATCGGGTCAGTCTCAACTCCAAATGGATGAGTTTCCCTGACAAAGAAGTGGGGTGTCTCCGCAGCAAGTGTGACAACCAGAAATATTTCTAATCAATCTCTCTTGCAAACGGAGATACAGTTATGGATTGATCATCACCTTCCTTAATTTCCTCTCAGGCTCCCACCTTCACCCCATCCTCCCTTCTGGAGTAGGTGAGTCTGATGCCAGAACTGGTGGCCTGAACTACTTCTTCCTGCGCATCAGCACTGCAAGACCGCCCGGGCAGCACACTCACCTCGGGACGCCTTGCAGGGATGCAGTGACTGTCTGGCACTGTTTCTTGTATCCCTCAAGGCTGTCTCCCAAGTTCTTTGTAAGGGCAGCCCTAGCTCAAAAAAACAAAAACAAAAACAAAACAGGAACAGAAAGAAAAAGAGAAAAAGAAAAGTAAAAAAGGAGAAAAAAAGAGAAAGTCCTATCAAATGATGAGCTCAATTCCAGCCTTGCTAGGTGCACTTGACTCCCAGCCTCAGGCAGATGAGGGCTCCGCCTGAGTGTTTATTATACATGGGCAACGTCCTTACGAAGAGATAAAGTAACAGAGAAGGCTTTCATGAAGATGGAGGGGCGCACCCTGTGAATCAAGAAGTTGCTAATTATTTAAGGATTGGCAAGTTGAATTTCCTCAAAGTGATGCACGTTTATGGCTCAGAGACCACACAAGGGTGAGGCGGCTGCTTTGTTTGGATATTTTTTCATTTTTTTTTATTGAATTTCATAAATACCAACCAAATTCAAACAAAACTGATTTAGATTTCACCTCGTCACTTAAAATATATTTTGTCGAGTACAGTCTGTGCAGTAATCCTCTGCTATACTTTAATTTGGTTTTAATTTTATAGGCCCTGTTTTAACTGCATATTTCCAGACCTTTATTTCTCTCACAGCTCTTAGCAAAATGGTAGCTCATAAACACAAGCTCTGCTGTATAGACTTTGCATTTCATCCCAAAGTATTTCCTTTTTTATAGCCGTGGTCTTTCCATCTTAGTGCTGTGAGCTTGGGTCACAAATCTCTCTGCTATTCCAGTGTGTGACATCTTCGCTCGTTTGCCGCTGCTCATTAACAAACAATACTGCTGTGAAATTGGTTTAATGACAAAGTAATAAAATTGCTATTCTGCTCACAGATTGCCTGAGGCACTTTGAGCTCCTACAAGGCTTACTGTGGGTGCCAAGATACATTAAGCTGCTTATTCGTAAAAACTGCATCATCCGTTTTTTCACAGGTTTTTTCCCTTTCCTATCCAGCCCCGCTTCTTTTTATCTTCAAATAAAAAGATATATTTGCTTATGTTCTTCCAGGCTGTCAAATTTTTACTTGCATGCATATTTCTGGAAAATGAAAGTATATTTCATTTCCTTTTTTTTTTTTTCTTGAAAGGTCACTCTGTCCCTACTACAAGGTTGTCCCTGGACAGAACACCTACTGCATACAACATTAAAGCAGACTTATTTTTGTACATTATGTAAGTCAGAGCCAGGGTCGTTGGAACCTATTTTGGGAGAGCAAGGGAATGAAACTATTTATGGAATGGTTTTACCTTTTCAAAAAAACAAGGTTTGGAGAATCCTTACAATTTCTCTCTTCACATTAAAACTGAAAATTTTAGATGAAAACAACCCACACGACTCTGGTGGTGACTATTCACATTAATATTTTATGAATAATAAAATACGTCTGCATTAAAGCAAAAATCTTCAGCAGGCACCTGTTTTCCATAATGAATTACATGTTCTGGGAAAGTAGCCTTTTTCCATTTGTCTAATGCCCATCCAGACCTGAAGATTTACTGCTGCAAGACAATGGGGAAATAACCCAATTGCGGTTTGACAGGTGGGCAGGTCTTGATAATTATGGCCAGACATCTTAACACTGTGCAACTGATGTAAATAAACATCCAAAGCACAGATCAATATTGCTTTCCTACTTTTGCATTTTGAACAACACATGCTAGCAATTTACATCCTTTCTCTCTTTCTGGCTGATTGGAAAGGCTGCATTCATTTAAACACATTGCATGCGTGCACACACTCCACATATTTCATTTAAAAGTATTCAATACACCCCAACAGCCAGGACTGTACTTTATAATCACATTATAGTCACCTGCTGGTATATTTCTATTAATTATGTAAACGGATATCTCAAGAGCTCCAAAAAGCATCTGAATTGGCCATTTGAATACCTGCAATACCTGGATGATAAATTTAAGGGAAACACGAACCAGGTTGGCAAAAATACAAACTGTCCAGAATTTGGGCATCTTTTCTTCCTACCGATGTGCTTGGCATTCTTTACAATTTCATGAACTGTAGGTGCTTCCTCTTCTACATGCATCTGACCTCATAAATCTCAGCAACTGGAGATTTTATTACAGCAGCCAAAAGATTTGCAAGGCCTGCCAATCCTGCTGAGAGGCTAGCCCCCCTGAAGATGAGAGAGGGTCTGATGAGTGATGATGGGGGGGTCTGATGTAAGGGAGCATATAAACCAGGGGTACAGAAATAAGTGGCCTGAGGAAGCAAGGTGAACTGTTTCCACAGAGAGGATCTGAGGGAGGCAGGTAGAGAACCTGGAAAAAAGGCAAGAATGGGCAGAAGGAAACGAAGGAAGGAAGGGCTCTGATGGGAAAATAAGGTGAAAGGAAAAAAAGAAACTAACGCAAAGTGGGATTACCATAAAATAACATCTACATGTTGTTTATTCTCATCTTCAGACCTTGTTAATCTTTGAAAGGAGATGTTATGTACTGTTTCAAGAGCCCTGTATGAGTTCATTAGATGTGTTGCTTCTCTCACAGCATCTTGACGTTAACACCTTTTTCTTTTTTTAAATCTTTAAGAAATATGACAGTCGGAGGGATGAGAAAACGTGTTTCTATTTTAATATAAGAAACAATAGACTATAGAGGAAGTGACCAAGGAAACTCTCTCTGGGATGTAATGTTAACTTAAATCTCTGAAAATAATGTCTGTTCCCTTCTCTACATGTGTTAGGATGTCCACAATAAGTCATTTTCTCTGTATTTAGAAGCCTGTAATAGATCCTGTCAGCTGTTTGTACCTCAATGGTACACATTATAAAACTCAGGTATTTAAATTTAAATATTTGATAAATAACATAAATAAACAAATGCTTAGAGGAAGGAAAAAATACTGCTGAAAAAAATATTTACAGCCGGCCAAGATTTCTGGTTTTCATGACCATTTTGCTGTGACATAAACCACCATCATTTAGAAGCCATGAAGTGCTCAAATTACCAGAGGCATTTGTCTTTATTTTCAGAATGCCTCTGTGAAAATACTCCAGCATCAAAAGCATTAAAAATCTTATGAAAAACAAAAACGTTGCATAATAGTAAGATGAACTATTTGCAGAAAGGGAGTATGAAATTCCTGAAATTCACTTTCTGTGCTATCTGTTAAATAATGCTATTTATTAATCTCCTACCATATGCAGAAAAATGTACAGGGTTTTTCCAGGAATAGACGGAGAACAGAAAATGTGACATAACAACAATTAAAACAACAACAGTAACAAGAGTTACTTTTTGGAGCTCCTACCAACTGTCATACAGTTCTCACAGTAATATTCTGAATCAAAATCATTATCCCAGTTTGATGGATGAGGAAGCTGAGGGACCAAGTTCAGGTCCAAACCGATAGTTAATAGTGAGGCCAGATGCAAACTCACATCCTTTATGTTCCAAAATCTCTCCTTTCTACTGTATCCTACTGCCTCTTCATAAGAAGTGATTTAAGAAAAAGTACCAAATACTACCTGTGTGTGTATGCAAACTATTCTTCTAAGTAATGTCAGAGAGTTTATGTACCCTCTGTTACCTAATCTTGTATATAAGTGGAGATTTAAAAAGATGTGACCCATATTTGAGAAGAGTCTTCTGAGGAACAATTAGATAACATAGAAGAGTACTTAGATATTTTTTAAAGAATGGTATGATTAGAACACAGTCAATATTGTTTTTCTTGGCTTAGTTAGAACCAATTGAAAATAGTATCTTCTATCTTCCCCTGTGGGCCAATTCCTTCATTCTGGATGGCTGAGGACTGCACCATTAACCCTCATACGCTCTTGGAAAATGAGTGGCACTGCTTATAAAAAAAGATCAAAAAAAGAAAGAAGGGAAAGAAAGAAAAGCAAAATAAAATAACTCACAGTTCATGTCTAAATGATCATAGATTATTCCATTATAAACATTTTAAATAAAAACAAACAATAACTAATTATATAACTCTTCTGTCTTCCTCAATAGACTGGAAACTCCATGAGGGCAGGGTTGCAACTCTGGTTTGCTGATGTCTCTCTAGCGCTTAGCATTATAAATATTTGCAGACATATTACCAATCAAATATTCATATCAATATAAGAAATCTCTCAACTTAAAGACATGTTACTTACATGTGTCTCATTCTTTTCAACAGCTGAATTTCACTGTAGTGAGTCAGTAAGATGAAGGAAGAAGTGGAGGAACCAGAAAGGAAAGAGCTCCCTTCCAAAGACCAATAAATATCAGCTCTGGCCAAGGCAGTCTGCTCTGACCTGTGGGTATGGAGTATAAACTTCCTTGTGCATGCAACTATTTTTCTCATTTTAGATTTTATTTTCTCCCCCAACTGTATGGAGTTTCCCTACATTTTGAGATGAAATTTGTACGAGAGTATTGTGTAGGCTTTTGTGGGCATGTTTGGGCCTCTGCATATAACTATAACATTAAACTTCAGGGAGAATACACTCCAAGTTCTAAACAACTGATGTAATAGTTTTGTACTTGTGTCATTTACATTTGATTCTGAACTGGAAGCACCATGAAGGCAGAGGGTCCGCTTTGTCCCACTTCTGAATAGACCTCACCTAGCACAGCTCCTGGCACCATGGCAGGTATTTATGCAATGGTAGATGCTTAAGGAACATTAGTGGGCAGACTGAATATGTGGTTTTGAAGGAGGCAGCAAACCTATTTCTCCAATTATACTTGATGTGGGCTAATATTAGGATTGGTTTGGATTTTCTAAACATACAGAGATTGATGACAGAGGTGACAACTCAGCAGAAAATATCGGTTGTCAAGAAGAAATCAGTTGAGGATTAAAAGTTATCCACAGAGGCCCGGTGTGGTGGCTCACACCTGTAATGCCAGCACTTTGGGAGGCCAAGGTGGGTGGATCAGCTGAGGTCAGGAGTTCGAGACCAGCCTGGCCAACATGGTGAAACCCCATCTCTACTAAAAATACAAAAATTAGCCGACTGCCATGGTGGGCACCTGTAATCCCAGCTACTTGGGAGGTTGAGGCAGGAGAATTGTTTGAACCCAGGAGACAGAGGTTACAGTGAGGTGAGATCGTACCACTGTACTCCAGCCTGGGTGACAGAGTGAGACTCAGTCTTAAAAAAAAAAAAAAAAAAGAGAGAGAGAGAGAAAAAAAAAGTTATCCACAGAGAATAAACCACAGAGATATGTAGAGCTGATTGCACAAGGAATGGTTATATAAAACATTAAGGGTCACCCAGAAATAAAAAGGAGCTGCCAAAGTACCACCAAAGAACTCCCAGTAATACCAGGAGAGGTCACTGAGGCTGGCAAGGGTCACTAAGCCATGGGTAAAGGCACAACCAAAGGCTCTTCCTTTATGCACTTAAAGCTGTAAGTTACGCTGACAAGGTGCAAACATATAGGTTTAAAGACCCTCGATGAGCGATATGCATTATCGCTCATTCCTCATTCCCATGTCCTCGGCGTCTAGGTTTTTAATTTATTTTGTTGTTTTGTTTCTGAGGTTATGTTTAGCACATTTAAAAGTAGCCCATTAAAAGAATTTCCAACTTGTTTCTGAAGTCATAAGCAAAAAAAATGACGAAAGCTTTGCCAAAATACCAAGGTTGTTAAAGAAGAGGAAAGATACAAGACTGGGACACTAACTTTAAATGTAAACATATACTGTTCATGTATGCTCATCATATATACGCACATCTTTCTATAAGTACAAACATGAGTTATTTTATCTATCACATTATATAGCAGGTGAAATACAAAAGTGAAATTAGACCTCTCTTTGTGGGTTTGATATTGTTTTTAATTACCCAGTTTCCACCACTCTGAAATAAACCACGTAGTTCGAAAGTTGCCTGAGTTACCTGCCTGGCAATGGTAGGCATCAAAATTGCAGTGAGTAAGTGGTTTCCTTCACACTCCCAAGTTTCCACATTTTTTTCTGTATTGGTTCAGCCCATTCCTAATGTCTATGTTTGAAAACATTCCTAGAAAATTTCCTTTCACTAGTTTTGATAGATTCCCTGACTTCATTCCAATAAAGAAAATATAACTCATCTTAAAGTAATTGTCGTGAAGGACAGTCAAATGATTAAAATTTGTCATCAGCCAAGAGAGGAGAGAAGAAAAAAGCCTATAGCAGCAAACTCAGTATATCATGGGGGAAGACAAACAAACAGTTAACATATTGAAAATAAATGCTGTTTTGTACAGAATAGCACAACCTTGATGGGTGTACTACTGTATCTGAGGCTGACATTACTTCAAGACAACAGAGTAAAGAATTTTTGCTACCAAGGCGTTTCTTTCACTTAAAATTCAAATCAGAATACAGCTTTTGTGTTGTAACTTTTAAAATATGGAATGGAATGAAGCAGAAGTTTGTTCAAAATAACACCAGCATAATCTTAATGGCATACAACAAAATTGAAACAACGTTGATGCTTGCTTTTTAGAAGCCACAAAGCACTTCTATTTTGTAAGGCCCTGTGACATTGTTGCACATTTGAAACAACAATGGCAATTAGGGAAGTGCCCCGGAAACCAGAAAAATGCATATGGGGTTGGGCCTATGCATCACAGAACAGAATCAATCTTCCTAATTAACGACAAATTAGCAATCCCAAAATGAGTGGGATCAACCTGTCTCCACTGGCCAAGAATCATGCTAAGTATAGAGCTTTCTCTAAGTGCCTCTAAATTACATTTACACCCATATAAAGTAACATTCTTTTAATCTAATACTACATTAGTGTCGCTATTCTTAAAGTTATTACACCGTTTAAAATTTCTATAGATAGGCGGACAGATAAACAAATTAATAGACAGATATGCAGATAATCAGACATTTCACAAAGAGGGACGCTAAGGTGGTGACAAATCACTGAAAGGCAGTGCACAAAATCCCTATTAGCATGAAGCTCACCAAGGAAGAAAAGTTTATGTGTAATAGTGATATTCTTTAAGATCTAATGGCTGTTTAGACATATACTATATTTTTTTTAACATACAGAGATAAACGTTAGGAAAAAAGTCACCATTTAGAGGAGAATAATTATAACCAAAGCAGACTTAATCGCTAATGACTGAAATAGCATTTTGCTAAAATTGATGTGCTGTTGGGTGGTGCCATTCAATATCCATGTGTTAAACATTGATAAGAGATGCCGAGTTGCATGACTCTGAAGGTGCTGATCACAGCGTTGTCTGTGCATATGATGCGCCCTGGAATTGTGCAGTGTACAGAGTGCTCAGGCCTCTATAGTGGCCCTGGCTGTACCATACAGAACAAACCAAAAGGTATTGCTCATAATTTTATGAATTTAAAATCTAATAAAGTGAGAACCATCTGTTGCCATTTTAAAAATTCAATTAATTTAAATTTCATCCACCAAGAAAATGAGGAATAGTGATTATGGTCTTTTTTTAAGATTAGTTAACATATTTCCACCAAACTTATTAGAATAGGAAGTTTCTTTGTTGTTGTTGCTGGCTTTTGTTCATTTGTTTTTGGATTTAATTGTTAGAGGGTCCATTGAAGGGCCCTAAGATTGTGGGCAAAACTGTATGTGTGCATGTGTGTGTGCACGTGTGTGTCTGTCTGTCTTCTGTCTGTCTATATGTACATATTCCTCTGGGGATATGTGGGTTTCATTACATTGTCAGAGAAGTCCATGACCCAGCAAAGGTTCAGAACTAGTATATTACAGCCTATTGTTAAATGAGGAAAAGCTTTGAGTGGTATGTTGAAGGTGGCTCCGAGTAGCCAAAAAGTGATGGACAAAGGAATTCATAGCCTCTTGCTAGAAAGAGATTATTCAAAATTTGGAAAAATTTGCTCTTCCAAAGATCAGACCTTGACTGAGGGCCCAAGTGAGTAAACAAATGAGAACTCTGAAATCTCTCCAGGGTAGCCCATTAGTTTGACATGAAACACACGCTATGTTTGGGCCCCCTTCTCTCAGCACCCACAGTGGACAATTTTAGAACAGACTTTAGGGTCTGATCTGAGAGGGGCGGGATAGTCTGTTGTACTCCAGAGTGAGTCTCAAAGCTGTAATCCTGCTGGGCATTTCCAGTCTGTGCTGCTAGTGAAAATTAGGTGGCTAGGCTCACTTTTGAACTCACTCTTGAACAAGTAGGAACACTATCTCAGCATCAGAGCAGTGCGGCTTTCTATAGGGTCTGTGGTCTAAGAAAAAAGCCCTAAAAATTAGAGGGTCTTCCCAAGGCCACTATTCACAAAGACTGGATATGTGTATACATACATACCCATACACATATATGTATAGTTGCCTGAGAATCTAGTCACTGAGGAAGGACATCTCCATCTACATCATGGAATTTTAATCTCCTCCATCAAGTCATTTTGCATTTTTACATAACCTGCATGGTTTAGAGACCATTGAGAAATTGATACCTCAGAAAGAGATAATCCTTTTTAATGAATCCCAGACTCTAGTGCCAAGTATTCTTCTTCCCATTTGTTTAGCATTTATGTGTATGTGTGTGTGTGTGGTGGGGGTGGGCGGGGGGCGGAAATTTGGAGACACAGATTTTTAACTTATTCAGAAGGGATTAACAGTGAAATCGTACTACCTGTTTCACATTTTGACTTGTGAATTGAGTATCCTAACGCTTTTTGTTTGACTCTATTTATATGACTTTCCAAAAGCCCCTGAGAAAACCACTTCAATTTATGCATTGGTTTACTTCTCTGTACAGAAGAGTAAGTAACTCATAAGGGTGTTAGGAAACTAAGTCTTGTTGGTAAAGTGCTCTTCTAATTGGTGCGATACAAGTGGTGATTATTATTAAATGGTTGTCACTGTCACCTCTGCCTGAAGCCACCCCTATCTTTAACATTTCTTTTATTTTTCAAACTTCCTCTTTTCAACATTAATAAAATATTTGTCAGCTATGCATATCACATAAATGCATTAGGGCATAAAAGCTAACATTTTCTTTTAATTTTAACAATGTGCATACTATTGGTAACGAATATTGAAAGAAATACAATGCGTAAGTAGATTTTACACCACATTAGAGTTGTCCAATTTCTCATGTTTAAAATTTTTCTGCATGACTAGAGCCAGGAAGAAATACATGCCAGCATAATTATATGAACAGTTGAAATTTAAACATATTGAAAAGGAGAGGAGAACATATCCACCCATTTGTGTTTTTTTTTTTCCTCCGTAACAATTCCAAAGATGAGTAATTTCTTTTCATAGAGTCAGGCTGAAGGCACAAAGCTTTAACATTCAAAGGAGGGAGGTAGGGGGAAAAGAAGCTTTTTTAAGTACTGTGCAAATCAATACACAAAAAATTCTCAAGATGATAGTTTAATTAAAACGTGCACAAGGCAATTCATCAGCCTCTTCCCTTGGTGTACTAGCCTCTAGAATTTGCCTTCTGCTTTCTGATCCCTGATGGTTTTAACTTGAAGGCATTTAAAATACCGTTCAACGGGCACCTTTCCACTTATCTTACATTCCTTGTTTTTCTTTATAAACAAGTAATTGTACTGGCTTTGTGATGTTTGTTATGCTTCATGCTTTTTCATCTCCTGTATGAGCTTTGCCTAGCATGAAATGCTGTCATGCAGTGAAATTTACCTGAGAGCTAAAGGGAGAAAGAAAAATCTTCCAAGTGTATGTGGTTACAAGTTCATAGCCAGCTAAATCACTGGCAATTTTATGCTACCAGTTATTTCAATTTAGATGTTTGTAAAAGTACATCTAAAAATAAAATAACCACTCCCATAGTCATCAAAATGAAAAATCTGCTTGGATTAGAATACATTGTAAGTTGTTTTAAACTACCATGTGGGAATGTTAATATTATTCAATTCCTATTATATAGTGTTCTAGGGATACCTTGGCAGAGACATAAAGCTACTGAACTCTTGGCTCCTTAATAGTTTGACTCCCATTGTAATTGCTTTGTTCACTCGCTGCCCTGGGTCTTCATAATTGGTTAGAGTCCAAGGTCACAGATTCAGTATGGTAGTGGGAGCCACTTAGCTGGTTGTTAAGTTTCCAATGGTAGCTTGTTTTCAGTTAGTATTATCTTTTTTCCAGATTGAGAAATTCTTTTTTCTTTTTTTTTTTTTTTTTAGCGGAGGAGAAATTCTTCTTTTCATTAAATAATCTAGGTATGTGCCTATGATGTTTTTGTTCAGCCTCCCTCCCCAACTTCTGCATACAGCAATTTTTAAGCCAAAAGCCATCCAGTAATATATTCAGCCCAAACCCAAACTAAATTTTTTGAAGACTTGTTGAGGTTCCTTAAATGTTGCATTTTTTTTTAATTACAAATATCCATTTGGATGGACTGTAAATATTTCATTTAATAAAATTTGTTTAAAACATCTCAATTCAGTGTCTTAGTTATTAATTTTTCAAAACATTCATGAACACAAAAATCTAATAATAATCAGGAAAGAGAGAGCTTTAACTTTTCTTAAAACCAAGGTTACAACAGCAATATAAAGTTACGTAGAAAAGAAGCTCATCATATGATCATACTGCATCCTTTAATGTATTATTTTTTTCTTTCTGAGATAATTTAACAATTGAAATGAAAAAACTTTGGAGGCAGTGTGTGGTGTATTAGAAATGACTCTGGATCTGGGGCCTTGATCTGTTTGACTATGGCTTTATCTCTAATGCCCTCAGAAAATCATTTTCCCCCTCTGTATCTCAGTTTTTTTTTTTAAATAAAATTAGAGTTTTAGGTTCAATTATCTAAAATATCTTTCCCACTTATAATTTATTTTATTTACATTAGCCAATATTTAGCTCAGTTAAGAGCTTCACTTTATAAGCAACTATTCAGAATTGACAGGAATATTATTTTACATTATGAATTCCCCATTACCTGCAAATAAAGCATTAGTACCATTGAACAGTTTTTGCTGCTCAGATAAGACCCTTTAGGGCATCTTTTAATACAGACATCAAATATTTTACTTGCTCTGTCTGCATTTATTCGATAAGTATTAGGTGAGTTTCCTACTATGTACCAGGCACTATGGCAGGCACCCAGGATCTTGGATGGCAAATCGACCACAGTTTCTGCCTGCAAGGAGTGGGAGGTGCATTTTCTTTCTTTTTTTTTTTTTTTGAGATAGAGAATTGCTCTGTCGCCCAGGCTGGAGTGCAGTGGTGCGATCTCGGCTCACTGCAAGCTCCGCCTCCCGGGGTTCACGCCTTTCTCCTGCCTCAGCCTCCCGAGTAGCTGGGACTACAGGTGCCTGTCACCACGCCCAGCTAATTTTTGGTATTTTTAGTAGAGATGGGGTTTCACCATGGTAGCCAGGATGGTCTCGATCTCCTGAGGGAGGTGCATTTTCTTAATGGAGCAAAACTTTTCTTCAGTTAGTTTGACAGTTTCTATAAAGTTGATGGTAAACAACCATTTCTCCTTTCCTGAGCACAGGCTTGTCCAAAAGTGAGTGCAATTGAGTTTTGGTAGAGGAATGTGTTCCTGAGAACCATGTGAAAGATGTATTATAAAATGTAGTTCTACTGTAATTATGAACTGACTATATTTGATATTGTATTCAATGCACTTCTTTAAATAAAGATTTAAGAGTCACAAAATAACATATTCTCATAAAATGACTCAACCTGTTATACTATTCCTTTTTATTATGAATGCCCAGTTTTCTGAGGAAATTGTACAATTTTCATGTATTTCTCCAAATATAGTCAGGACTGGATGGATAACAAGGATGATTCATTCATTGCATTCAAGGGGAAAAGATAACTGTTTTCAGAAGAATTTCAAACTCATTAAAAAGCATTTGTTTGAGATCCAAGGGTTCCTCTGTATTAGTGTTAACCAATGAGAAGACCTGACAAGGAATATGCTTATTTTTGAAAGACTTCTTGATACAGATGAACTTTGGCAATAACAATATGTCAACACAAACGGTGAACAAGCAACCCATGAAAGAGGCCCTTAGGAAATAGATTGTTTAGTGAGTGGGTGAAGGAAAGACTGATTAAACTGTGTTTTGAGGTGGGATATGATATTGGAGGTACACCACAAATGTCCCACTGATTTATATATTTAAATAGCAAAGGTATAGTGACTTGCAGATTCTCAAATTTGTCCCTCCCTTGTTGTTTGGTCAGGAATTAACAAAATAGACAGTCCTCAAAATATCAACGTCTAGAGTCACTCTAGACAACCTTGACAAATGAAGGTGACTGGGTGAAGAAATCATTTGGTCTGATCATCTCAATAATTCCAAATTCAATAGCTTTTTGTGAAACGCTACATGTAACTTTGACCTGGTATGTGAGTTTGTTTGCTCTTCTGAATAGGGGTATCTACCTTGCAAGAAGGGATTTAAGAAACAGCTTATCAAAATACCAGGATAAGGCACTGTGCACAGTTTCTACATAAAAGCTAAATAAGATATACTTTTTATAAGATGGTATTTCATTTTTCACTACTGCTGCCTTTTAAAAATTTATAAATTGCTATGAAAGTGACAAGCCAAAATTGTATGAATGGTCACTGTTGAAGCAAATTACTTTAGAGTGGAACTCACCCACAGCAAAATGTCTATGCTTTCCACAGCCAGATCAACAACATACTATTAGGAAGATTTTTGTTGTTGTTGTTTTGCTGTGGACCTGTTAGGGATCAGGATGCTACAAAGAGAAACAAACAAACAAAAAAAAACCATGATGTAATTCCACACTCTTAAAAGACTTTTTACCCTCACAACTATGGAAAATTGGGGGTTGTCTATTTGAGTCAAAATTTTTATGACACAAAAAGTTTACTCATTTATTATCCTATGTAAACTTGCAAGAGGAAAGGCAGGCTTCTTACTTTGCCTACTATTCCATTTTTATGAAGAATTTTGTGCTTTAAATAGATGTCAAACTTTTTTTTTCTCCAACCCTAGTTGGTCTTTCCACAGTTGGAGATTTTAAACGATGTTTGAAATTTGGTTCTATATAGCTTTCTGCCTTAGGAAGGTCCTCTATGCCTAGATATGGTATGTCCTTTTCAGGGACCCTCTAAATCAAAGTGTGGCTTTGCCCCTGCGACCCAAGCTCCTCCAAGCACCCGCTGTCACCAAAGCCTCCTCTCTTTTTCTGGATGAGCTCATCTGCTCCCAGGACTGCAATAACATCTATACCCTCAGACCTACCTTTCCCTCCCCTTGTGCGGTCCCACAGTGCTTCCTGTTATTCTGACCTCTTTCCCTACAGGGCTCATCTTTATTTTATGCTACCTATTGTGAAAACAAAATCATCTTCCCAGAGAAACCATCAGGCCCCACTCAGATCTGCTGTCATTGTGGAAAGAATCCCCAAGCCCCTGCTCCCAGGGGCCAGAGCCCAGAGTTGTAGCTCCTTTTTCTATTTTCGTCCCATGCTGAATTAGCCACCAAAACCTGCCACAGTTATAACAATAGAGATAAAATCGGTTTCTTTTTCTTCATTTTAATAGCTAAATCTCTGATTCAGGTTCTGTGTAAGTCACCTATCATCTACCACGACTGGCCTCTGCATCTCTTGTTCTAATCAATTCAAAATACAATGGTTAAAATCGTTTTTCCTCTCACTTGCTTTGGCTAGACTTTTATTTTCAGTTCACAGGCTTAGAATCATAAAATATTAGAATTTTAAAGATAGAAAGGACCTTAAAAATCACCCAGTCCCCATTCTCTTATGGACGAGGGAATAGACACTGAGAAAGGCTAAACTGACCAAGATCACACAAGTTGTTTGAGCTGGAATTAGACCCAAGCTGCTGATGTCCAGCCCGTTCTCTTTCACGCACCACACTGCATCGTCTTTTGTCAAACACTGAACCTTCCTCCATGCTGTCCCCGCTGCAGCTCTGTGGACAGGGGTGTCAGCCTTTCTCACTGGACCTCGTGCACTTGCAAATGTCTTTCTCTCATCAGGCAGAGCTGGTTCCTCCCAGACTCCTTTACTCAATTTCCCTACTTCCATGGTCTCTCGTACTATTTCCATATGACTACTAAAACAGTTCTTCCTGATTCAAAACTAACTTCCAATCTAATCTCCTCCAAGAAAATGCATGCTAATAGCTACCCTCTCACCTCAATAACTGGCTTTCATGCATGTTTACTTCTCCAGCCCACTCTCTAGCTTATTTGAATTCAACCCAACGAAAAGTTATGCATACCTACTAAGAGTTATACACTGCGGTTCTGAATAATCCCTTTGTCACATAAAAGGCAGAAAAAAAATCCCAAAGCAATCTGGCAATTATTTCAGATGGTCAACTAGTTTGGAAACAGAGCCAAAGGTCAGGGCTGTCACTCATAAAACACAACCTACTTTTATTCTGGTGTGATGTCTAGGAGAACCATTTTCTCTTTGGATCCATTTTGCTGTCTTTGCAAGTGTTGCTATTGGGCTATGGAAGAGTTTCTAGGAAGGTCTAGCAATAGAGGTCCTTATTTTTTTTTTTTAATTTGTTAATGATTTACTGGTGTTATTGGGAAAATCATACCATCTCCATGATGTGCCAATTTTCTCAAGAAATTGTACCTGTTTATCCTCAGAACAAATACAATTCATTGTAATATACTGCAAGGGGCTCGCCCACAATTGCTTAATAAAATTGTGTCATTAAAAGTATTATTTAAAATTAGTGAACTACTGCCTGGGCTGGAAATTTTTATTGTATAAAGATTTTCTGTTGTAATGGGATTTGACTTATTTATAATATCTAAAATTCTGAATTCACCTCATCACTAACTTGATGGTAAATTGGCAGGCATTACTTACTTAGGGTATGGGACGGGTAAGCTTTCCTTCTGTGGCCAAATTATTGGCAAGTCTTTCATTAATCAAGTGGAAGATAAATTGCGATGGCAGGATATTGGTTCCCATGGATAATCTAAGGACATGACACTCTTACATAGTAACAGATGCTCAAATCCCTAGGGATATAGCATCCTGAAAATGTTACCCTAAGTAGGAGCTACAAGTACTGGTTGCTGAGATGGAACCAAAGTATGGATGTGCCTTATCTGCAGAGCTTTGGAACTGGGGCATTTTTTTAGTCTGTGGGTTATGGCCCCATTTCCAGGAAAATCTATCTGAGCCTAATGTAACCTAGCAAATCTTTCAAATGAAATAGTCTTGCGGGAGGCAAGTTGTCAGTTTCTGACATATTATTTAGAGCTCAGTTCAGGTTTCCTTCTTTCTTCTTTCCCTACTTAAACCCCCTGCTCATTCTCCATAAGCGCCATTTTCTAATTAAGGAAAATGAAATTTGTAATGTGTAGAAGGGAGACATGACCTCCCTTGCCAGCCAGTCTCGCTCCTCCCTGCACACCATTAAAAATAGAATCCAGGGGTGGTTGTTTTTTTAATTGGTATCACTTTGTCTTTAGTGCAAAACACATGGCAATAATTTAGTGAACTCCAGTGTTTCTCTTGTGGCAAATTGATAGCATAATTTTATTATGAGTGGAACAATGACTTCTGGGAGCAGGAGAGATTCTCTCAGAACTACACATAACTCGGTTGACTAAATGTAATACTTGGAGAAGGTAATGAGAATAGAGCCAGGGCTCAGCAAGGACTAGAAGATTTCAGTTTCTCACTCCTGTCAAAAGGCTACTCAATAAATCATACCTGAAGCTTATTTAATGTCAGAAGCCAGTAAGCTGACAAAGTGCATTGGGGTGCTCACCTCAGAAAAGGCACACGGAGTCATGTGATCTCTGGTCCCTGGACTTGATGGGGTCATAGAATCCATCTATGGATTTTAATAAGTAACCTATTATGTTCCCTTTGGTGCTAATTATTTTACACATCACTTGTTTCCTGTTTACTGACATTGCTTCAGTAATTTCATTATGAAAAAAGAATCACAAGGAAAGTTAATCCCTATGACTTTTGCCATTCTATTCCACAGGCAGTTTCTGCTTTTCTCCCCCTCCATTCTTCTTCTGCAGCAACCCATTCCACCTAACACAAACACGGAAACACAGAATCCATGGGAACATCACAGGATAACAGGAAACCTGCAATGAGCAAAGCCAAGCAAAGAGCTACCCTGAGTTACACAGATCCAAGACTATCAGGATTTAGTAACTCACGGCTAAGAAAGTATTTGGAATTTACCCTAACTAACCCAGCCTCAGGTCACCCAGGAAACCTGTGACCAAATTCCATGGTGCTAATTTCTACAACCTTTATGAAAAGGAAATTTGCCCATGGGCACTCAAGAATCCCTGTGCATCCTTTTAACTGCATTGACAAAGAAAACTATGAGAATCAGATCAAAACAACAACCACAACCACTACCACCACCACCATGACTATTTTGCCCACCTCCTTATGCATTGTGTTGCATGCAGGTTGAGTATGCTTATCCATCAGACTACTGGAATCAGAATCTTCTCTTTTGGAAGAGCGTATTTTTCTGAATTTTAGAAAACCATGTGCAGAGATCAAGAAAGGTAGCATGTGTTTTATAATTTTTAAGTGAACTAATATCCAAAATCTAGGTTCAAAATATAAGACAGTTTGACTTTGAAATTACCAAAATGTCAATACTGGATAGGTAAAAGTATACAAACATCTGTGACCATCTCTGTAAAGGAGATCAATCTATCAATCACGGAAAAAGGATTTCTCTAGCAGGCATTCTTACAAGATACTCTTAGTCAAGGAAGACCCATTCCTTCCTCAAGAATTGAGTTGAAACCATTAAGCCAAGACCATTAAAGAGATTTTTCACGTGTGGGTTTTGAAGTAGATTTGAATCCAGATCTTTGGGGATTAATTCACTATTCCATCCACTCCTTGAGTAATTACTGCTAAAGTTGGTTGCTTATCTAAAGGCTTTAAGGAAGTTTGGAACTTAGGAGGTCGACATTAAACAGCCTGAAACCTCAGCCTGCAGGGACTTATCTAAAAGATAAAGTGTATCTAGAGACACAGGGAAATCTCATATCTCTAAATGTTTACCTTGCAAAGGAAAAAAGAGAAAGAACCTTGCATGTGTTTCAGCCTGAGTGCAGAATTAAGGATTCTGGATGAGGGCTGGGAGTTAGCTGAAAATCTCCACCGAATGATCAGTCAGCAATGACGATTCTGATTTATGCACAAAACCAAAACAAAACAAAACTGGAAACAAGGTTTTCTATTATAATTACAGTAAAAACAGTGAAGTAGGAAAAAGACTTGGAGAAAGCAATATTTTTTACAAAGTAAGGCTCTATGTATTTTTCTACCCAGGTTTCTAATAATTTTGCAGATTAGAAAATGATTTTCCTTATTTAGAGAATAGAGGGAACAATTCTGAGTGTCGCGAATTGGGCGGAATTCCTGGAGTAAGCACCAGGAAGCGCCACCTAACCGATGCTCACTCTCTTATACTTGAAAAATCCAACACAATGAAAACAACAGCAACAACAACAAAACAAGTCCTCAAGATCACGAGGTTAATAGGACCTACATTTACTCATTACCAGAGCAGATTCTCAATTAAGTAATTTTTAGAAGGCTGCTCTCCAGTGAATCAATGCATTGAATGAATGAGTGAAGTGAAAGAGGATCTGGTCTAAAGACTATTCATAAAGCACTTATTTCTCTGAGAGTGAATTTTTGGAAAGAACTTAAAGACTACTCAATACTGTGGGTAATGGAAGAAATGAGAAAAAAAAATTACTGGTAAAGGCACCACCATAGTAAAAAGGACTGAAGATTCAGAACCAGGCTATGGCCCCCAAGACTCTTATTTTTAAGAGTAAAAAAATTAGAGAAAGTAAACAATATGATATTGGTATATTCTGATCTATCTTTTTACCTTCCTTTCAATAGCTTCTAATTTAGGGGCTTGTTTAAATTTTGCATTTACAAGCCCCCTTTCTATTTTCTGCCTTCTAGAAAATAAGTTAGAGGGTAATTTGAAAATTCCTTTTTTAAAAAAATGTTTTTTTAAAATACAATTTTACTTTATCCATCTGTGACTGGGGCTAGGAATACTTACTGAATCAGTTGCTATGGGATAATTGTGTAATATTTGCAATGAGTTATCTTCAACTTTTTTCCTGTTTAAAAATAAGTAAATCGCTAAGTCAATATCATTCTTTTAAATCATGCAACCCACTGAAATATAGACTTTTGTTTCTGTGTTACTTTGAGAAACCATGTAGATCATGCCAATTGAGATGGATAAAGGACTTATTTGAGCAAACTTTGTCTCCCATCCAAATACTGGTATAATGAAGTGCAGAAGTAGGTAGAGGCTTGTGCCTAACACAGGACTTGTCTGGAGTTTATTGTCTCCATCAATGAAAGAGAGGAGGATAATTCTAAAAATCTTCAAATATCAAAAAGGGTCTACGTTTTTGGCCAAATTTCTTTCCATATTTAGAGACTCTGCAAAAAATGGTTACTTTCAGCATGAGAAATTTTATCTTCCAAAAAGTTCTCATTTAAATATTTTCTTTAAGGGGCATTTTTTGGAACTGTTTCAGAAACTTGTTGCATTCCTTTTTTGTTGTTTTGTGTTTTCTCTGTAGCACTGTACTTTCCTCTAAACTAGGAACTTTTTTTCTCCCCTTATTGGCATTCCAACCCAGCAAAGAAATATGCATCCTGAGATAATGCTGCCAGCTTGCTATGAAAACCATATTTCATTCTTTCTTTGCAGAGCAAAAGGGAAAAAGCACAAAGGAGCTGGTATAATTGAATGTAAAGGATTGCAGCAAACCTCCCCTTTGAGTCCCCTCGCTGGCATTCCCTTCCTTTATTTCCCCCTCTACTCCTTTTGTTTACCACTTTTAAAAGGCTCTTGCTGAGTCTTAGCTGCTTGCCCAAATTTGGTCTGAATCTAAATTTCTGGAAATGGTACTCCCATCTCTACAAGATAGAAGGGTGTCTAGAAATGCTGGTCTGACACCGCAATGGATTGGAGGCACAGCTGCCTAGGTACAATAAATACATCCAGTGTTCGGCTCAGTGTGGGAATTTCATGAATCTGCTGCAGGAAGTAAAATGGGAAGATACGGTAATGCTTCCTCTTATTCACAATTGGTATGCCATGTGTCAATGCCCTGGTTACCCCCAGTTACATTTCCTGTAGACAGAGCAAAATGAAACCCACTTAAATTTCAGGGCGATCCCTCTGGTTAAACATTAATAATGTGTGTTTTTCTTTTAACATCTTTTAATCTCTTTCCCCGCCTTCTTTTGGTTTTCTTCTCAGAAATAATTGTAGGTCTCCAAGAAATGATTATATGACCATGGAGACAGAATGACTGGAAACTGGACAGAGATGCAAAGAGATTAGAAACTCTACTGCTAACACAAGCCCAGTTATTTCAACCCATGAGTGACTGTCGGCAAGAAAATGCTCTAGTTTAGCAAAAGACTTCATGGGGCTGGTTGGATTCACACCCCTTGGCATCTCTGCCTCTTTCCACGGCCACTGATTTTTCTGGCATAGGAAGTGATCTGAAAGAGAAGCATTTTCACCTAGAGCTCACCAAAGCTTTTTTGTATTCATTTCATCAGCATCGGCAGTTTCAGCACATTAAATGCTGACAATGAATCTAGCACCTGGCAAATCTGACTTGAGATTCAAATGGATTTTTATTCAGAAACATAGATGTTACTTGGAAATAATCACTGAAGATGGCAGCTATGCGTTTAACAAATGGCCGCGGTGGAAATTGCTGAGCAGAGAGAGGATATTTAGTCCAGCAGGCTTGTTCCCTTTAGGTTTATCTCGACCCCACCTCCCTGGTTTATCACTCTATCCTTCAATCCTTTCTCTCTTGAGATAAAAGTGTCCAGCTGTCTCTGTACCTCATTTAGATTTCTTGCACCACTGGCCAATTATTCCATATGTTTACTATGAAATTATTTTCCTCAATTCCCAGCTTACTCTTGATGTCCTAATATCACAACATATTTCCTGGTGTCTGCTCTCCTTGCAGTGGAATGACAACATACACACCTTTGAAAATGACTTTTCTTTGCTGTAAAGAAGTGCAACCTCTTCTAGCACTTACCCTGCCTCCTACTAATTAGGCTTCAAATTGGGCTTGGAGATTCACTGACCAAGGCCTGAAACTGACCCTCTGTCTTGAAACCCACCTAGAACACTATTATTGCCCTTCAAGTATAAGCAGCAAAGAAAAGCATCTGGGCACCCAAATCTATCTGGGCTGATGGATCCAGGAGGCAAATGATTGCTTTCCTTAGGCTACCACTCAGTTCCTGTCCATATTTTAATCAGGGCTGAGAAGTTCTCCTAACAATGCTACCTTTTATTTTCAGAGCACTTTTAACCTACAACATGTTTTCACACACAAATTCTCCTTTTGTGTCAGCATCATTCCATTTCACACCTTAGAAAACCAAGTCACCTGGGTGGTTAATGAGCCTTCCTGAAGGGAAAGAGAAGAAGGCTAGAAAGGGAAACTGATTCTTTTCTCTCGGCACAGTCCTTTAATCGTAATTGAACAAGCTCCTATATATTCTTGAAAAATTCATCAATGGGGCCAAATGGAAACAGGTAAAGCAAAACTGCCACTTTCCATGAAGAAGTCATACAAAGTGGGTGTTGATTATTAAAAGCTGTTAGACGTAGAATGATTGTTGTGAGACCATTTTGATGGGAAGGTGGGGCAAACAGGACACAGGTATTTAATCTCAGCTTGAGAGGCCATTATACAAAGGAACTCTCTGAACCATCTTCAACTGGAAAGTTCTTTGAAATTTCAGTTTCATGCTTTTTTATCTGGAGGCCTGGAGACAGCCTTCTATCAAGAAAGTAAATCCTTTATTCCTAGTATACCTGTATACTGTCAATAAGTCACCCTGTGTGTTGTGTTTGTTGGTATACAACTAGGCTGTAATTACTGCAGTGACATGAGTTTTTAAAAGTACAGTATTCCTTCCTTTTAAAATTAATCTGGAAATAGGAACATTTAAGTTAATATTATAATTCTGATATAGCACTGAGAAAAGTTACATGAGAACATGGAGATGTCTTATAATTTTCCTTTGTAATTTTAGCTTAAAGGATTTTAATTGTCAAAGACTTTCCTCTATTTCAATGATTACTGTTACTAAAGATGTGTATAAATGCAACTCACCAAATGACTCAAGCAAGGATTTCCTCATTTAAAAAATAACCTTCTTTGTCTTTTGTCAATAAATGCTTATAAGTATGTCTCCTGAGAAAATACCAGAGTGTTAATATCCAGAACTTTCTTTCAAAACGCCTAACCTTCACAGTTATTTGAAGCCACTTACCTCCTACAGTTCCCTAATCTTACCTCCCTGCCATCAAAGAACTGTAGAAAAAAAAAAAAAAAACTATCATCTGAGAAGCTACAAAAGTCTATCTTTGTTTAATACAGAAGTTATGCACAGTAAGTTGTCTGCACTAAATTTTTCCCCCTTAAACATGCCTATTTACCCCTGGAAGAAATCTCCATTCCTATTTGTAAGCTACTTAATGTCTTCTTTATATCATTGTATGAAATCATGTTTCTCTTTCATTTTTACAATTACTTATTTTAACTATTTTAACAATAGCTATCTTACATGCCAGCACCATACTGACCACTTAGCATGCAGAGTTTCTTAAAGTCTTACAACTATATGAGATATATATGACCATTATCTCCATTTCACAGATGAAAGCACTAAGTCTTAAAGGGGTTTAGTAATTGCTGAAGGTCAAACATCTATCAAATGGTGGAACCAGGATTTTAACCCCACACGGTCTGATTCCTGAGCCTGACTGCTTACCCATCATGCTATATTACCTTTAGAGCTTTAATCAATATTCAGTCAAATTACACCATATTTGCTTTTCCATTGCAAGGAGGTTATTCAGGTTGAGGATATTTGGTTCGTTGCTATTCCTCTCTCCTAACGCGTGTACTTTGGTTGTTTTACAGCTGATTTGACTCTCCACCAACTGACCAGCATAGAAAGTGAGTCTTATCACTTGTGATTAGCTTTGACAGTGAGGTGCACACATTGAAGATCTGGTTATCATCTTTTAAAAGAAAGTCTTAATTAGGTGATTGATGATTTATGGACTTCCAAGAGTTAACTGTAGGAAAAAATGACTGAGTGTCATAAATTTCACTCCTTTCCTGAAGCACATTTGGATTTGGTTGCATCATCACTTTCTGCATACTCCCTACTGTAAATACACTGGAAAAGTCCATTAAGATTATTTCTAGCACTGACTGCAAAGACACAAGGCATCTTTAATTCTCTTAATTATCTCCTAAACTTCCTTTTTGCTTATTTCTTCTAAAGTTCATCATTACTGGCTGATATTAACAGGTCTGTTTTTATTGCTTATTGCTCTCATCAAGTGCGTGAAGCCATGTTCCATCGCTTGTTACTACAGATGTTATTTCTCAGTGCTGCTTAACTACCCTGACCTTGTGTGGCCTTTCTATATTAAGAGGTAAGTGAGAAGCAGAACCAGAACCGCAAGTCTTCCATGATTGTCTGATTTTTATGCTTTTTTACTGCTCTAATTCCTTGGGTGCAAATCTTGCAGCACACAAGCCTAATTTCCTGGTCTCAATCGGAGAAGTGGGCATTATTTCCTAGTATAGCTGACTGAATGAGTTTGTTTAGGAACTACACTCTGATCCCCTCTGCTTTTTGACTGAGCACTCTCAGGGCCTGGAGAAATAGTTTCTAGTCCACTCTTCTCATCTCTCTTAGTGATTACTTTGTAGTTAAGAACAGTGACTGTGAGGTCTTTTGAAAGTAGATTGAATAGCTTTCTCTGTTTTGAAGCTGACTTCATCAAGGCATTGGGCAAGTTCAAAATGCACTAAAATAAGTGGTGTTCACTTTCAAATTTCTTTCTGAAATCCCCAGAAGTTTGGGCCCTACATTAAATTCTTGGTAGTTTTTTAGAGGTATTTGCTATACTATCCTCATGAGTAACACCTTATTATCAAAGTTACGGTAGCCGTTAACTAAGACTTGGACCCGAGGGCAGGATTATAGGATTTTTCTGAAGGAAGTGTGAAAATTAGGAAGATGGAATTATTTTGTAGAGACAGAAGTGTCAACGTTTATGCTGTATTATGGGAAGTATGCTGTGTGACAGACTGTCACATCCTAACCCTTGGCATTCTGTGGCAAATATGGCTCAAATAATAGAGAAACAAGAAACCTAAACTCTCACACTCACTGAACTCCGTGTATATGCCTTGGGGCTCAATGGAATTCAGAAAGGAAGGGTGTTCTTTCCAGTTCCAGCCAGGTGTCTAATTGTGGGAAATGCTAGATTGTAGATTCTAAAAATTCTTCATTCTTCAGGTGCGAAGAGTATATCAAAAACTATAGGTAATGGATGATAAGGAACAGTATTTTCAAAAAGAACAAGATCAAATATCAATGCCAAATATCCATGCGGAAATTTTATTTTTCTCAGAAATTCCCATCACAAGCTCCCTCAATTGCCTCAAATGTACAAAAATTATGATTCTAAAGCAATGTTAACTGCGTCATGGACCAATGTGTATATATTAGCTCAGTCTGGTAATCAGTATGCTATAAAAGAATGTGCAGAGCAAACAAGTCTCCTGTAGTTAACAAAGAATACATTTATTTTACTGTTTCAGACCACTGATAACTTGTGCTAGGAACATAAATGAGAATATGTATGTTTACATATATATTTACACTATGAAGCGCCTATCAATGTATAATCACATACACATCCCCCTCCAGAGGGGGATGTACTGCCTTTATTCCAAGTTTTTGGTCTAAAGGGTGTCTTTAAATGTACACAGTTCCAATCTTTAGAAGAAAATTAAAGTGAATTCAAGTCTGTATTGTCTATCTTTTCTTTCTGCCTTTCTTTTCAGGTTAGCAGTTTATTTCTGCATTAATCACCCTGACAGAAGCAAGGCAACTCAATTTTCTGCTTCTGTAGGTAGGCACATCACTTTCTGTACAGCACTAGGCATGAAAAGGACTGCAGCTAAGCTTTGGTTACTGGTGTAATTGAAATGCTATCCACACTATAGGGTGCATTAAAGTCAGATAACGGCAGTTCCTGTGGCCAATTTAAGTAGCTTGACTTCCCTGGGAAAAAAAAAAATTGCCTGACAGATAAGGCAGACAAACTGGCTAATTCTCCAAGCATGTCTCTCATTGTGATCCTAGAAAAATGAGAAAAAAATGAATCACAGAACCACAAAATCAATTGACCCTCGGGTAGCTCATCAGGCAGCGAGCCTGATAAACCTAAAAGCTTTGTTAATGTCTGCCTGCCTGTATCCCACAGATAGAGCACTTTGTAAATGAACCTGCTTTGATAAATATATTAAGGAAAGCTGTGAATAAAGGCAGAGACTTCTCATTTGTAAATACAACCTCTGCTACATGGAATTAGAATGATAAAATGGAGTTCCATGTAATTAAGTTTGTATAAGGCCTGAAATCCGTGCAAATACTTTCCCTGAATTTTGAAAGAGAACTGTCAGTTCAATTAATCTGAACATCACCCCAAGAATGTACTGAACAAAATTAAGCTGCTGATAAAACCTGGGCCAGTATTTTGATAAGTAATTCCTATATCATTTCTTGGCCACTGTGATCATTTTATTTAATCCTCTGCCCCTCCTTTTCCTCAGTTACCCTCTAAGCCGTGTACAAAGGGTGGATGGTCCATACACCAGCACGGGAGTAATCTACCAAATCGCAAAAATGGAAAAACCTTTTCTCCTATTTAAAAAAATATTAGGGTAAATAAATTTCTATTAGGAGATACTAAAAAGCCTGTATCTACATCACCGCTCAAAGCCAAGACAAAAGAATCCTTTCCAGAACTGGTAACTCCGTATGAGGACTGTGCAAAAACCCGCGGAGTGACTACTTTCAATAGGAATGACCTGAACAGAATTTGTGGCTCAATTCGAGAATTTTAAAGCATCAGAGATGGGAAAAGTGAGGTGGAGAGGAAGAGTGATAGAGAAGAAGAGAAAAGAAAGAGGGAGAGAGAAAAAGAAAAGGAATAAATCCTACAAAAACCATTTCCCTAGGTTACCTTTTCCTCTCCCTAATCACCCCTTTCACACCTCGAGGTAGAAACACAGAAGTTATCCTCCTCGATTTCATTTGTTTTAGAAAAAAAAAAAAAAGAGAGAAAACCATTATTTAGAAATCTCATTTTAGCCATGGGAGAAAGACATTGATTTTTGGGTCACTCACCAGTTGTTTACTTGGAGAATTGTAAGTCCTGTGTCTTGCGCTAACTGTTTCTTCTGCTCTTCGGAAGGGTACGGATGCTAATGGAAAAACAAATGTTTTAAAAGATGGATCAGAAGTTAAGAAAGAGTCACTTACTTCTAAGAATAAAACCACCGTTGGTGATTTCTTTAGTCTATGGCTTGATTTTCCTACTTGCATCTTTTTTATCATGTGTTGAGAAATGTGGGCAGGGACAAGAACCCAGAAACCTGTATTAGCAGCCCCATGTTTCTGTCATACTCTGTAGGGCCAGCAGTAAAAAGCAAGGAGTTTAAGTTATGCAATTTCTTTAATCAGTCAGAATGCAAAGCACTTTTGTGATGGTGTCAGAATTTTGGTCATCTAACTCGCTTCTGTTGCACTAAAGGAACTGGTTTCAGGCCCCTTTTACTCTCCTCCCTAGACAGCCTATGTAAAGCCCTTATTCTAAATTATCTTTGTGAGATGGCTCAATATAATCATCCTTCTCTAGTTAAATTTGAGATTATTGACAGTAAAAGTTTAGAAAGTGAGGTAGTATATAATCACAACTATTCTTGTAAGCCATGGCAACTGATTCAATTACAACACAGTTTACTTACAGTATATTTATGTTGACTCCTTTATGGGACAACAGAAGATTCTTTCATTGTTACTGTTACTGCTCTAACAGGGTCACACCCAATGATCACACAGCAAAAGGAGCCAATTATGTGCAATACTTCATATAGAAATTTTACATTTTACCTTCAACTACAACAATAAGAGAATGAAGCCATAGGTTTTGGTGTTTTCTAATTCTTCACTTCCTATCGAAATTCACCAACATTTATAATGAACAGTTCTTCCATTATCAAGACACTTTCCTCTCTGATTCTAAAATCAAGGATTGTTAGTTTAGACCCATACCTTTATTTTAAAAGACACTGTACTGGGTATACATAATTATGAAATATGTCTATTAAATAGGTCCCTGCTCTAAATTCACTGATTTTCTTAAACAAAAAAGTAAACTTTTATCTAGCATGTCAAAGTCATTCATAAAGTAGAAAGCCTTTTGTAATAAATACTTCCCATCAACATTATTAGAGGGTGACATTAGGAACAACAAAGTATTCCATTCAGAATATTCTAATCATTCCAGTATTTGAGAGAGTGAATGTTTTTCAATCATCTAAGATTTTATTCTTCAGGTATTTCATCTTCTATAATAGCGTACATTATCCAAAATGCGCACAATTACTTATTAGCAAACCCAAATGCCATTAGGTTAAACAAAATCCCCTGTATAGCAAAAGGGGTTAACTAGATTTGTATTAATATAGAAGCCAGGCTTTTAATATTCTGCAAATGTTAACAAAGAAAGATGATAATGTTGAGTTAATATGGGTTAAGCATAAAATGAAAATAAATTTTTCTGATTGCGAGGTGTTGACACTTTTTTGGCTAGGGCCTCCAGCCTGTTCCTGAAAGCTGTGTAATTACAGAAGGCTTTTCCCCTCCTTTCCCCCTCCTGCTTCGAGTCTACCCACATTAGTAATGACCCCTTCACTGCTTCAAAAACCACTAATGGTCTTCAGCACGGGCAAGAAAAATGAACAGGATAAATTGGAATCCACAGTCAGTAATTTGCATCCTATGAGGCTGCTTTGGTCACTCACACTCATTCCTGGTCATCAATCGTTGCCTGTCAGGTGCTGCACTCTGCCACCATGACAAATACTCCTCCTAACACTCTGATTCGTCCAAACAATGTAATTGTCCTCCAGTCTCCTTTTGGTAATGGAGATAATGAATGACTGCACAAACAAGAAGGATTGCTCATCACTGACGCCAGTGTGGCTTCAAACTGGAAAAGGCCTGGAGTACAAATTTTAATGGACTGAAAACACTGGTTGGGGTGGGAGGGGCGGTGGCAAAAAAAATGTAAAAATCCTTTCTATTATGGCATTTTCCTGCCAAATTCAGGGGAGTTGCACCCTTTGACTTTTTGACCCTCCAAGATTTTTAGAGCCTAGGTTTATAGGTTATTTACCCAACAGAAATATATTTTGCAAATAGCACAAATTAAAATGAAAATAAGGATGCATCACAAGAGTATCTAGATCTGCATTGGTAATGTCTTCCAGTGTGCTGTTTCTTTATGCAGTGTTTTTGATCTTTTTTGTGTGTTTAGTCTTGCTCACTGTTCACTGTTGTGATGCATTTGTCCAAGGCAGTTTTGACAAAATGTGGGTTGTAGAGTCTGTCTGTCTGTCTCTCTCTCTGTGTGTGTGTGTGTGTGTGTGTGTGTGTGTGTGTGTGTGTGCATGTGTGTTTAAGCGAGAGAGAGAGAAGGTTTAGATGAAATAAAGGTTTAGGGTGTAAGCAGAATAGTTGAAATGGGAGATTACTGGAGAGCCAATTCCTTCAAGTTTGATTGTAAATTTTGTAAATTCTGATTGAATAACAATAATTCTTTCCAGTGTTTTATTAGAAATTTAGTCAAATGGCCACAGAATTACATAAACAGTGCATTTTATCTTGGGAATCCCTGAGCTGTACTTTCACTATGAAGGCAGTTGCAAATTCCATCCACAATCATTAAAAAAATTGGTACCTTACCAAAATTCACCTTGCACAGATGGCTTTTTTTTTAATTAATAGGGAAGACCATAATAACTTTAACTTATTTAAATAATGGTCTGTGGTTTTTGAACATTCATGATTCCATGCCCCTTTTATACATGGGGTGGACTGTTTACCTCAAAGTGCTCTGGCAATCAGCCACTATATTTCTAAAATTAAAAAGGGGATTGAAAACAATCAGCTTTCAGAGGAATTGGAACCATGACAATGTGTTTTGGATTAATTTACAAATATATGTATACATTTAAGGCCAAACTGTGGAACTAGAGTATTTCTACTACATGATCTATCATATGCATTCTTCTGCTTTATTAGAACAGACATCCTATTGAAATAATAAACATGGGAAGCCTTCACTTCTTCTTTGATGTATATTACTAAATGTCTGACTGGCTCAAATTTAAAATAAACTTTGGTATGCTTGCACTTGAAAACTGGAAGTAGACCACAAGCAATAATTTGTTGTCAGTTTCCATATTCTTGGACTAAAGCTATAGTTTAGTCTGTTCACTGTTGGGGGCCAACCCACTCTAGTCCAGTGGCCCAGAGGTGGCTCAACTTACTCATAAGAGCACACGTCATTGTAACCTGATAGCAATGATTAGGATTCCCCTCATCAAGAAAGAGCCAGCATAGGTTAAACTTTTTCACATCTCGAAAGAATTCTAAAGCCACTGTTGAATAGAAGTCAATCACAACAATCCTCTAACTTTGAATATCAACTGACAACTGTTCAAAAAGCTAAGAAGACATGTATGGCTTATGACTTCACGTAGATAGAAAATGTATTGTAATTACCATTCTTCTAAGGACTCATTTGAAAGCAAGCTATCTTTATTCAAGATAGTGACCTTAGGCCTTCTTCTTTTTAATTTTCCTTTTGGGGTTAACTAGGTTTGTCAAGTACATGGAAATAGATCTACAATATCCTTGGAATACATCACTGGGACTTTTTATGGGTGAACCACCTAATAGTCAACTTCTTTTGTGATTAACCCCTCTGTGATGATATCCAAACTGAAACCAATTTATCATAAACTTTATTCTGTGTTAAAAGAATTTATATTGATGTTTTGAAATTTTAAGTGATACCTCAAATCACCTCATAAATTAGATATGTACAATGAATGAAAAAGCTAGTATCTGGAAGGCTAAAAATTTGGAATTAACCTAAATGTCTATCAACTGGATGACAGTTAAATAAAATGTGAGGTTCTCATGAAAAGGTTGTCCCCATATATTATTGAGTAAAAAAAGCAAGTTGTAGAACAATATGTATCATTTATTTCTGATTAATAAATAAATAAAATATACACATATCTATGCTTGTAGCGCAAAAAAAATCTGGAAAAATATACACTGAATCATGTTGTGTAGGGCATCGAGTAGAAACTTTTTGTTTATATACTCCTATATTGTCTATGTGTGTACTGCTTTAAATAATTTTAAAAATATAATATCAATTTTAAAATTATAATTAATTGTAATTATATATAATTATATAAATTAATTATAAATTAAATATAAATTAACTATAATTTATATACTTCATATCTTTAAGAAACTATAGTCACTTAACTTTTTTATACAATGAGATATTCTCTTGCATTGTGGTAACTCTTTCATGGACATTTTTTAAAGCAAGACATCTCCAAGATCAGTTCTGCCTCTTAAGTTACCTTCCTACCCTGTAAGTCTGACTCACTTGCTGGTCTACAAAGCTGACCAGATGAGTGCTGACTGAACAATGCACAATTTGTCAAGTTACTTCTGTGATAGTGTAATACAATCATTTAGATAATGGTCAAGTAACTTGTTGGGTAGAGTCTTAGTTTGAGTACATGCGTGGAAACTGATCATTATGCATGGAAAGTGATCATTATGATGACCACTTCCTTTTCTTTGCTCCCCTCCAAGGCATATATTTTATAGAGTTAATCCAGGTGACCTTCATTTTGATGATGCCACTCATTCATGAAACCCTCTAAGTAATTTCCCTAATGTGGATAATAAAAATGCATTGGGCAGATATCATTTATTGATCTAGGACTATGCTTACTAAAATAGGGTACAGGCAGACATGCCAAGGACTTAAGCCCTGAATAAATAAACGCATCTTCCTGGAATGCCAAACTTATTCAATGGTCCTTAATTTAATACCTTTTTCTTTTTTTAATACCTTTTTATTCTGTAAACAAGAATTCCTATGCTATGAATAGAATATATATTTTCGTGAATTTTGAAGATAAAACAAGAAACAATTAAGATATTTTAAACCAATCCCATCCTTGTAGTGGAGGACAATCACCTTTCCACTAAATTCCCATAGCAATTTACTTGGTATTCATAATTTTTAGCTTTTCATTGTCATGCTTTATTTATATCTCTGTTAAGTATAACTTCCTCAAGGTAAAGCCTTGGGATTTTTAACTTTTGTATTTCTCCCCCATTCTTTCTCAGTGTCTCTAAATATTTGTAGAAAGAATGAAAAAAATTAGACATAAGTTCTCATTCAAGCTTTGTTACTTTAAACAAGACTGTGCTTGGGACGCAGTCTCTGTTATGGTAAAATGAGAGAAGGTTAACAAAGATATACATGGGATATAAAACACCTATAGAAGTTGTAATAACAAGGTTTGTGATGCTTAATTTTGAATCTCTCTGACTCTCTTTCTCTGACAAACATATACACAACCCTCTCAAGTTGTCTGAGCTTCTAGCCAGTACATCAGGATGTAGTAAAAATCCTTTGCTATTCTACTGCCAAGCTAACTCCTGTTTCTACCTGAAGCACTTCTGCATGAAACAGTATGTATCTCTTGATTTGTGTTTCTATATTCAAATTTCTATATTTTCTGGATGTCTCATCCTTGTCTCTAGCTGTTGAAATCAGAACCACAAAACATTAAGAGTCAAAAGATTTTGGGGCCGGGTGCGGTGGCTCATGCCTGTAATCTCAGCACTTTGGGAGGCTGAGGTGGGTGGATTAAGAGGTCAGGAGATCGAGCCCATCCTGGCTAACACGGTGAAACCCCGTTTCTACTAAAAATACAAAAAAAAAAAAAAAAAAAAAAAAAATTAGCCGGGCGTGGTGGCGGGCGCCTGTAGTCCAGCTACTCGGGAGGCTGAGGCAGGAGAATGGCGTGAACCCGGGAGGCGGAGCTTGCAGTGAGCCGAGCGACTCAGTCCAGCCTGGGCGACAGAGCAAAACTCCATCTCAAAAAAAAAAAAAAAAAAAAAAGAGTCCAAAGATTTTTGGACAGAACTTGATCTGAGACCTAATTTATGTAAATAAGGAAACCGAGGCTCACAAGGCTTAAATAATCTACATCAGGTCATATAAATTGGCTTTGGTAAGAGTTGGGATAACCACCTGCTATCCTAACATTTAGTGGAGGACTTTTCCACTCTAACATTAATATTTTTAATTGAAATACCACTTCCCCTTTCTTTTTGATAAGAGTGCCCTGATTTTAATTTAGGGATGTAATCAGTGGTGGCTAAGTGACTCAAGTTTAGCCAGTCAACACAGATAATCATGCTGTTTGCATTAAAGATGGAACCCAAGTTAGGTTAATGGGAGTCAGTTATGAAACTGTTAAAAGTGTTGTTTTTTCACTGGGGTTACTAAGTCAGTAAAATGTGTGCCTGGAGTTACTAATGGCTATTATTGTCACTGAATGAAGAGAACTTGATTGAGAATGAAGCTCATGCAGACAAAAGCAGAGCCAACAGATACAGAAAATATATTCCTAACATCGTTTCTACACCTATAAACTTTACCTAAAAGTAACCACCTTTTACCTTTCAGTCACTTCAGCCAATAAATTAGTTCTGAATAATAAACATAGACCGATTTGGATTATGTGGACCTTTTTCAGTTTATTCCCTTTTCCCCTCCAGCTAGAAATGATTGTTAAAAAAAAAAAAAAAAAAAAAGGAGAAGCATGAGGAGGAAAAGGAGGAGGAAGAAGAAAAAGGAAAAGAATAAAAAAGAAATGATTCATTTTGCTTTAATTTCTATAGCAATACAGATTCTGGTCAAATAGCAAAAACTTTAGAATTGAAGATTTTTTAAAAGTTTATCAGAGTAGTGATCCCAATAGATTTTTTAAATCATAAAATTTGAAAGATAGAGGCTTTAAGCATGCAATGTACATGAAAGTGTGAACATTTTGTATCTAAATTCGAAAAGCAAATGACAAGGTGGAATTTTAACAATGTTTCTTAAAATGACCATAGAGAGTAAATTTTAGCATGTTTTTTGTGTAAAGTTGAAACTCTAAAGTGAAATGAATATAAATTTGATAATCAAAATACCTGAAAAACACATTTAGACTCAATAACCTTACAGCAACCAAAGGCTGTGATAATGAAAAATAATACAAAAACTATTGCAATCATCTGGCTAATTTAGGGTTATTTGAATTCAGTAAAATTCCCTTACCCGGCTGCTGAAGGAGAGTATATTTCAAATGGTGTGGGATCAAAACATTCCCCTCCATTTCCACGATTCTGGCATGTCCAAGCCCTACTAATCCATCATAGTTCATTCAAACAGTGGAAAACCCTCCCAAGCCAGAAGTAGTCACTCCCCACAAACTTCCACAGTGCTTTCTTTCCTCCTCTCTTGTGTTTTTATTCACTTCATATTGTCTTTTATGTATACATGTGCACCTGTGTCACATCCCTCACTGGACTGCAAATCATTTGAGGGCAGAGTTAAAGAATTATTTAACCTCAAACTTTCTACAGCACTTAGCTCAGTATTTCCTACAGAACAAGTGTTCAATACATACTTGTTACTGAATGCATTAGTTCTGAAATTGGTGCTGTTTCCTGACAGAAAGGACTGGCTGTGCCACAGATAAGATGCATAAGTACTCAGATGAATATGGAGAGATTGAGACAATCATTTAACTGTTTTATGAACACAATATTCGGATATTTGAAAACATCTCTGAATTTTTTACTTTTCATCCAGATGTTTGGTGTTATGGAAATGCAGGCTTCACATTCAAATTAGTAATGTTTTTTAATTTAATGGCAGATGTATATTTGGGAGGAGGGGAAAGTGACCATTTCAGGAAGATTCACTTCCATTTGAGTTTACATGGAAGTAAATAGATTGAATTATAATAATAGCCTCCTATAGAATTCAGAAAAGGTTTGAGAGATGTTAATAATTGTCAGATCCTAAGAAATTAAAATGTTTGGTGGATACTGAGAGCCACAGTGGGAAGGCCTCATTAAAAAGAGCAAAGAGAAAAGCATACTCTCTTCTGTAGATAAGCTAAAGGAATACTGAATGAGCCTGATGGATTATCATCCAAAGATTTTAAGAACAGTTATTAAATTTATTATTAAGATGTAGATAAAATAGAAAAGCGGAGAAGGAATGTCTTAAGACACCAAAGTTAATGACTAAAAGGAAAAAAGGTGAGTACCTTAGGATAAGGAGAAACAAAAACATCTGCAAGGAGAAATGTTACATATACATATTCTAACAGAATCAAGTGAGTTTATATGAATGGCAGTGATGGAATTAAGTGATGGTCCGATACCACCAACACTCATTTTACCTCTAAACTTCCAAAAAGGCAACAAAAATATTGCAGATAAGATTCAGAATTTCAAGCATAACAAATATAATTATTTTCCTATTGACTGAGACTTTAAAGCTGAGCACAATCTTATTTTGAATATAACAGAAATATATTCCCAAGGCTAGAGAAAGATAATTTTTATTTAACATTTGTTAGGATGCTCCCATGAGCTGCTTGGCCATGCATGTTATGCTGCCTACATGGCTAATGGGTAATCTTACTAAATGAGCCAAAAGCCACAAATAAGGCCTTGACTCATTTAACAATCATTTCACATTTCCACACTATGACCAAATTAATATTTTATGGGGCCACTCAATTCTACGGCCAGACTACTTTTCCAAAAAATTGAATTTTGTACTTATTTATTTTATGGGTCATTTGTTGAAATAGATTTCAAAACAGGTTTAGGCTATTTAGATTTTTCAGTGAACTGCAAAAGAAAAACTCAGATTCAGAGTTTTAGACCTAGAGAGGATATTAGCGGTCATCTAACTCAAACTTCTTATTTTATGCCTAACAAAACTGAGGTTGACGGAGGCAAAATGGCTTGGCCAAACCTCGCTGGCTTTCCTCTCTTTTAAGATGTCCCTGATTTCTCCAGTGAAAACAAATTTCACACACATGATCTCAGAGAACACTCTTATGGAACATCTTGTTTCTACCTAGGAATTATAGATGCCAATATCCAGATTTTTTTCCTGCAAGTTACGTAACACCCATATCCTACGTCTTTCTTTGCCACCCTATCTTTCCCCGTTTGCCACACTGCATTACAAATGCTTGCCTGTTTGTCTGTCTTCCCTATTAGACCATATGTGCCTTGAGAGTAGAGACTGGCTATCCGTACTTTACTACCAGAAGCTAGTTCACTGCCTGGCATTTAAGAGGTAACCAATAAATACGTGTTGAACTAATCAAGTTTGAAAAGGTGACAAGTGAATTCTTTGCATCCCCAAAATACTATTTTAAAATTACAGAAAGGGAAGTTAGTGGAGGTAAAAGCCAGATAGAAAATGAGAAGGAAGATTTAGGAACACAAAGAGGCAGAAAATACCAACTTTTTATCCACATCAAAATTGAAATAGTGAAAATCAGCTCTTACTTAAAACAAGAATAAAACTTTATACATGTAAAGAACTGGGAAGAAATGGCAAATCCAGATGGTGACAATGACACACTATGGAAAAGAAATAAATGCATTGGACTTTTCATTAACATTTAATTTATTCATTTTAAATAGGCTAAGGGATTGCTTTAAAACAAGAGTCTGAAGTATGTAGCAGAGAGTTATATAATGTCTAGACAACTGAGATACTTGTATCTAATCTTATGACAACAATCCTACTTAACAGGTCCAGACACAGTGCCTTATGAGACTGAGTTAGAAGGAAATGAGGATTAGTGATTAGTCCATTACAACATTTCTTTAGTAACAGGAAAAAAAAGTCTAGGTGAAAAAAATCTGGGGCAAATATTAAGGAATTATTAAGCAACATTAAAAGCTATAATAAATAATTTCAGTATGTCCTGTTCAATTTTACTTGCACAGATTATGCTATGAATAATTTTGTCTGATTTACCATAAGAATGCACTGAAGGTCTAGTTGGACAACAGATAGCTAACATGGATTTAAAGAGGAAGAGGTTGTTTAAAGAAGCTGAGGGTTATCTTTTTTTTTTTCAAAAAGGTTATTATCTCTAGAGTAAGCAATGGAAATGTGGATAGTATCTTCTTTGCTCATCTCAGAGTATGGGATAACAGAATGGGGTTAATGATAAGTTTAAAAGTTATAAAAACAAGAAGGAAGTAGCTGTAAACTAATGACTTCTTGTGATAGACAGGAGTGGTTAAAAGGAGAACCTTCGTAGTGACTGACCATTTCTTGCACCATATTATGGAGAAAGTCTCAATCAGGAGGGCTAGGAAACACAACCCCTTAATAAGAGTTAGTTCTTTCATTTTTAAAGTTCACCAAGACAGAAAACTCTAAGGTATAAAACAACAGCATTAGGAACTTGGCTGAAAGGTTCAGAACTACTTTCTTTTTCTAACATACACAGAGAGCTTCTTTCTGCATATAAATGAGTGTTTCATACAAGTAGACACTTAGACGAACACCCTAAGAAAGGCAGGCTCAAAACAGCTGATATTTTTTCTGTTTAATTATAGTCTCATATTCTTAAAATGTTTCAGAATTTATCTGACTTTTAAAAACACATGAGAAGCATCATTACCAGTCTACCACAAAATATGACAAAGTAAAACAAGATATCACCCAAGTGTTTACCTTAGTTTTGTTCTGCATTGTACTAGTAAATAAAGCAATCAACTATAATAACCAACCATAATAAGAAAGCTCTTACCCAGGCCATCAAAAAAGGTCAGTTAGCAGTATTTGTTTTGGAACTCCCCACAGTTTTATCTTATCAATTTGTTTTTCCTTCCCTTTTTTTTAGAACAGCCTCTGCAGTGAAAGTTAAACTAAATCAAGATGGAGACAGAGCAAGGTACTGCCACAACATTGTCTATCTTTGGGCCCCATTACTATTTTACCTAAACTACAATGCATGAATACATTAAATATAAAGTATTTCTGAGCATATAAAAGAAAATCACTTTGTGAGTTTCTAATTTGTATATAGACGAAATCAACTGATTAGTAAATGGAGCACCTTCAAAATGTCTTTTCATCATACCTGTGAACATGTATTTTTCTGGTAATTATAAGATCATAAACCATCTAATCTACACCATAACCAACCCCCCCAAAATAAATATACATATCTTCATGATCTGGATATCTACGGACTAAACATTCACTCGTTCAAGACAAAAGTGATTAAATACTAAAATATCAAACCACTTGATAGTATTTAACCTTTTGCCACCATAATGGAATGTAATGCTGAGTAAATACAAATAAATTGGAAACTTACGGACTAAAAGAAAGTACAGACATAAAATTAAAAGTATTCTTGGCAAAAAATAAGGCTACATGCTGATAATATGTTTATAGTTTACTTAAATATTAATATGTGGCTTTTTTTTCCTAATTTGGACAAAAAAATCAGAAAATATTCAGAAAAGGCTTTTCTTAGCTTGGGTAAACAAGTTGACCTCAGCAGAAAATAGTCTAATCATCTCTCTACTATATTTGCTTCTATTCATCAACTGGACAAAAGAAAGAGAAATAATGGTGGACATATTTAAAATATAAACATGTGAAGGTATACACCAGCCATATTTTTTTAATCCATTTAAGCAGTAAGATTTGATAGAAAGCAATAGCTATTTCTTATTCCTCCTGATTTGTATATTAGAAATTAGTAGTATATCTTTATATTCTTAGAAATAAATAATTCTGTATTTGCAAAAAAATATTTCTTACAAGGATTTAGGAAGCCCTGAAAATGGCTGTCTCCACAAAAACAGAACCTTAAAAGGACAAATTTTTAATGCAGCTAAATTCAACTGGTATGAACCACTATGGCCAGCAACTGCTTTGATTAGTTGAGCATTCATTCTGACAGCTGGTGCCTGTTAAATAGTTTGAATTGTTGGTTGCTGTTAAACAATTGTTTTTCTGAATGATGGTCAAAACTCTCTAGCATTTCTGATGCCTGGTATGTTGTGGCTTTCGCAGAAGAACTTAAGTTTGACCCATATCCAGCATAATGTGAATGGCATTCATATATCAGAATAAGGTGAGTTAACCAGTTACCCATAGAGTATGATGCTTTTTCATCTGAAACAAGGTATCTGTGGGGGATTGCTTCCAGGACTCCCTCAGACACCAAAATCTGAGGATGTTCAAGTCCCTAATATAAAATGGTGTAGTATTTGCATATAACCTATGCACATCCTCCTGTATACTTTAAATGATCTCTAGATTACTTATAATTCCTAATAGAATGTAAATGCTATGTAAATAGTTATACTACACTTTTTATTTGCATTTTTTTTTTACTGTCGCAGTGTTATTTTTGTTGTCTTTTTTTTCATGAGTATTTTCAATATGCAATTGGTTGAGTCCCCAGATGTGGAACCCGCAGACATAAAGGTCCGACTGTAGCCTGAAGTACTGTTTAAAGGTATCTTGGCTACTCATGTGTTACTGACTGAATCATATACATGATTAAAATATTTAATTTAAATACCTTTATTTCAGTAATTGGAAATATAACCTCATGCAACAGAAGCTGAGTGGGTTTCATTCTCTAAGTTAGCAAAACACTTAAGGATTGCCACATGGCAAGAAATAAGCCAGAAATGGCCTTTAGACTCTAAGCAGAAAATCATTAAGCAAATCTAAGATACTATTTGTATGTATGTACCATGAAAATATTGATTATGCTTTATCTAAATGAAGACATTTACTGACAGGAGGTAAGAGAGGATAGTTTTTAGCAAGAGATTAATAGGAGGAATGAAAATTATCTCAAAGAGATCAAAAGTGTGGATAGAAATCACCATTCAACTCAGGACTCTGGCTCCCCATATAAGAGTGAAACTTGGCCAGGTGCTGTGGCTCACGCCTGTAATCCCAACACTTTGGGAGGCTGAGGTGGGCAGATCACCTGAGGCCAGGAGTTCGAGACCAGCCTGGCCAACATGGTGAAACCCCAAGTCTACTAAAAATACAAAAAAAAATTTAGCCGGGCATGGTGGCAGGCACCTGTAATCCTAGCTACCAGGGAGGCTGAGGCAGGAGAATCGCTTGAACCTGGGACGCAGAGTTTGCAGTGAGCCGCGATTGCGCCACTGCACTCCAGCCCGGGTGACAGTGCGAGACTCCATCTCAAAAAAAAAAAAAAAAGAGTGAAACTTGGATTTGACCTGGATACTGAGGAAACTATACTGACAAACTCTCCTCCATTTAGCACCAAGTCTGACCTAGCAGAAACTAAAGGAAAGACTTTGTCAGTTCAGGTATTTGTAGGTGTAAAATTTTCATACAGTGTAGAGCACAAACAGGAAATTAAGGAAGAAATGCATAAGCCACTATTTTATAAAGTCTTCATCTTCTTTCCAACCTAACTAGCCAATTTTGAAATGGCCTGGGAACATACTACTACAAGGAATGAATAAACCTATCTTCATTTTATTGTTGTGGTATTTGTACAATTCTACGAACATTGATGGATAGCTGCCTCATCCCAGGCGAGATCTTTAACAAGTCAGGTGACTGGAGCAATGTAGAAACAGAGATTGAAATTAGCATTTTGGCATTTGACTGGTTATGCTTTCTTTTAATTCTCTCCCATAAGTTCCTGAACACATTGTCTGTTTTCATTTTAAGTGAATGGAATGCTAAAGATGTTATAGAAGAACCTAGAACTACACTCTCTGGAGACATTACTTTCTTTTGGACATTTAGGACTATTAGCCCTAAGTTATTGTAAGCATAAAACCTGTCAGCAAGGGAATTCAACATAGACTGTGCTTTACTGAAGTAAATGCAAATTGAAATATCCTAAGTTGAATCATGAAGGGAATTTGCTGTTCGCTAAAGTGAGTCCTTTTGTAAGATAAATAACTTTCTTGCAAAACAATTAATACTCCCCAAAGGACGAATGCTTTTCTGATTTCTTTATGAACAAATCTAGATGTTTACAAAAAAATGCCAAATGAAACATTCTGGTGGATTTACTAATAAGCACTTGGATTTTCTCTTCTGTGTTCCGTTCATTGCTGTATGTCCAGCTTCTTAGGAAAAAGTCTAGGAGAGCAGTATAGCTCAATAAGTATTTTGTAAGGGAATGAATATTTCTTCAGTGCTTGACCTGAGTCTGAAACAGGGAATGTCTCATTTAGAGTGCACAAGGAAAGCAAGGGAAATGTTAGTCTTTACCGGTAATTCTCAAATTAGCAGTTAGAACCACTTAGTTGGGAGGAGACTAATGACAAGGGGAGGGAAAAATTCTGCATGTTACAGATTTAAAAGCATATTCTCTATCAATTCATTTACATTAATGAAAATCTGGATTTTTTTCATGAGAAATTATATATTTCTATTAGCCCATATTGATTCAGAAAGAAGGGGAAAAACCTGTAGAAAGCCCCATAGAACTTGTCATAATAGTCTGGGCAGAAGTACATGACTGTCATTCCAAGGCAGTAACACTTTCCATAATTTAATACCCTAGTGGATAAACATTTGAATTTAAAGTGTAGATACATTTTGGAAACACTCAACCAACTCAGGAAACACATGTGCTATGGTGTCATCAGGTCACACTTCAGGTGGAGCTCTGGGAAATTTTTTGGAAAATACTGGCAGAAATAGGTTGGAAGGAGGGAGAGAGAACACATAAATCCATTAGCAATTGCATTTATAGCTCTTTCCATCTGTCATTTTCAAAGCATTTTTCTAATATTAGCTGCTGAAGTTCTAAGTGCACATGGCTCATATCCATTGTCTCATCTCACTTGATAAAGGTAAAGAACCGAACGCAGGAAGCATTTGTGACTTATTACTTGTTTGTGATCCAGGCAGAATTAAATGCAAGAACTTAAGCTTCGAGTTCTCAATTTCTTTCCCTATGTTGAAAATCCATGAGGCTAACTACTTCCTAGGAATAATTATTTGTCTTTTAACAAAATCTTCATTCTTATTCTTCATATAGATTAGGGAGAAACTTTGGATATGAAAACATTGGTGATGTTACCCATTCTAATATAATCTATTACACTGAAGATTTGATTATACCAACTCAAGGCAAGCAAGGTCAACTTACAGATAAAATAATTATGTGATATTGGCAAGATGTGATTAATTATATGAGGTCTACAGTTGCCATCAAAACAATGCAAGGCAATGAATTTCTAAGGTATTTTAGTTTTGTGTAAGATTTAGTAATTTAACTAAACTCATACCTCTCTGTCCCTCCAGAATGTAAGTGATACTATATCTGCTCATGGACAACACAAGTGGCCTATAACATTTAACAAAATTGCCTAAAGAAATTAAAAGCCAATAACTGTAGGATGAATATGGAAGTCCTGAATAGTTCCACCATTAGGTCAGTTAATTTAAACTTTAAAATATTTATATGTCTCCCACCAGAACATAAGCTTCTTGAAGAAACTTGAAAGAAACAATTAGGAAAATTTCATGGAGCAAACTTTTCCCTAGCCCAGGCTATAGTTGCACAAGAGAGTTGGGGATCTAGAAACTTCTGTGGCTAATGTCTGCAACACACTGCGATAATGACCAGGAGACTAACTAGTCATTCAAGTGAGAAAAAGCTTTGACAAGTCCAAGAAAAAAAGAGCTCACTGTCATTCATTCTGGGAAATTAAAACAAAAACAAAAACTTATAAAGAAATTCAGGCTATATCTCACGAGGGGAAGAAGAAACTAAAAAAGATTAAGAGACAAAGTGAGCTTATACACATTAGAATAATATATGCTCAAATCTCTGGAGAAACTCTATTATATCACAATTAATGCAGAAACTGCAATCAAGCCAGGCTAATTTCAATAGATTCCAAGTTTTGAACAGTTCCTAGGCTATCCAAGTGGGAATTTGGCCAGGACGCTGGGGTTAATAATTCATTTTGAGGAGGGCTAATTCTTTGGGAAGCAGCCCACTCTGCAGGAGGAAACATTTGGCCCATATGAGCAAATTCGCTCTTTGAGATCACCATCTATTAGCTCCACAAGACACCATTTTTAGGGGGAGAAGGGGGAAGTAAGTTCACTTTCTCATACATATAGAAATATTTATCATGTTTTCAATAAATATATATTAATGTCAGAGAAATGGCTCAAGCATACACATTCTCAAGGAATAATTTTACAGTAACTTTTAATTACCATGATCTTAGTATCGCATCACCAGACGAGTATTATGGCTAAAAGTAGGGGCTTTGGAATCAGACGGTCCTGGCTTTTAATCTTGGCTTGGCAGATTACTTACTGTAAAACCTTGAAGGAGATACTGAATCACCCCAGGACTTGAGTTCTTCGTTTATAAAATAGGAAAATTAATGGTACCTACCTCATAGAGTTCTTATGAGGTTTAAATAAGTCATGTATTAATTGACCAAATGGATATTGAGTGCCAGGCACTGTTACAGGAGAGAAAAATCTCTGACCTCATGGAATTTATATTCTGGCAAGGAGTGAAGGTACTAAATGAAAAATACAGAATCTCTCTGGGGGTAACAAACTTCATGAAGACAAACAAGGCACTATACAGAGATAGAAAATAACTGGGGATGCTGCTCTTTTATGTAGGGTAGCCAGGGAGAGCATTTTGAGAAGGTGACATTTGATCATAGACAAGTGTAGTCAGAGCCAGCTAGGAAGGCAGGATGGCAAGGAGCCCAGAGCCCTACTGCAGAGTGAGAGGGGCTCAGTGGAAGGATGGGGGCTGGAGAAGTAGCTGGTGCCAGACCATCCTGGGCCTGTGGGTCATGTTAAAGGATGTAAGTACTAACATGGTGTCTGGCACATAGTAATTAAGCACATAATAAATAGTAGCTATTTATTTATTCATACTGGGTAAATACAGTCATAAATCAGAATCATTCCTTGTTTCCATTGCTCTGTCATGTAATGGGAGTTTTCTACATCAATCCTGTCATCCTCACATAGCGATATCCTAACACATTTTAAACGCTCATGATATCACTAGTATTTGTAAATATAAATATTTTGTGATGTGTGGTTATTCAGCATCTTATTTTCCTGTTGGTGGGTCTTAAAAGTGATTTTTTAAAAGGGTATGTTAATTGAATGAGGTGAGATAGGATGCAAAAAAGAATCTTCAGCTGGGACACACATAGAGGGAAGATGGATTAGGACAGTGTCCTTTGCATTTTCCCCAAGAACACCAGAATGCAGGTATTTTCCTTATACTAAGCTGATTTGGAAGAAAGTCTTTAACTGATCTTCATGTCTCTAAATTGACTACAAATTGGCCCCAGCAGTCACCACCTAGCAAGTACACAAGACATCAAATGGATCATTCATACACTTCCCAAAACCGGTATAGCTCCATGTCACCAATAAAACAGATTCTTGGCCTGCACTCTAAGGCCTTTCACAATATCCCAAACTATCTTTCCAAATTTATATCCCACTACTCTGCAACACAAATATAAAATCCTAACCAAACCACATTGTCTTCTCTATTTTATTCCTCTATTATTGCCACCAAAACCCCTTCCATCTTGCAGATATTCAAAATCTCACCATTCTTTCTCTCCTCCCCTTTTTCTATACACTGTGTTTCCCAGTCCCTCTATACCTCTCCTCCCCATGAATTGGGCATGACCATGCAACTGATCACTAGACAAAGGACTGTGATTAAGGGTATGTGTGCTATTTTGGGGGCTGAAGAATTCACTTGCTGCTATGAACTCCCCTAGCCCTCTCTATTGCCGCTGCAATCATGGAGGTACTTGTTAAGAGTGTGGTGTCACAAAGTGGAAGAAACTTTACATGCTGAGCTTGTATAAGGAGGACAGCCAGCCTCAGAGAATAGCCTGAACTCACCACTGATTTTGTGTGCCCAAGAAACAACTCTTTTGTGTTAAGCCACTGAGGTTTTTGGTGCTATTTGTCGAAGCAGCGTAACAAATCCTATTCTGATTGATATACATTTCTTCAAGATCCAGCTTCTTGATCACTACTTTGAAGTGATTTTTTCTTTCTCTGTGCTTCTAAAAAAATCATACGGAGAAAATTTTCTTTAGATGCTGGTTAGAAATTTCTTTGTAGGAAGAATCAGCTCTATTGAAAAGGATCTTTGATAAGCCTGTGGGTTGAAAAATAGGGGTTGAAATAAATCCCCCAGGCCTGTGTTTCTAATGGCAGGCAAGTTTCTTGTCAAAGCAGGAAGCTACTCAGCCTGAATTGCTGAGAAGCTGTGTTGAGAGCTGCCTAGGAGAAGAGGTGGAGAGGCGATTAAAGTTAAGAGGCGAGGCCTGGGAAGAGATTGCATAAAGGGAGTTTTTCAAGTGATACGTGTGCTATGTGATGTGACACTTCCCCTTGACACTAAAAGTCTTCAGCAAAACTAGAGAATTCACAAAATCCTTGATATGACTGGATTTCTTAAGGAAGCTGATGAAGTGGCTGAATTTTGCATCAAGGCTATGTTGGTTTAAAAGCAATTCACTTGTGCAGTCAAAGGAATCAGCTGATATCTGGGTCACACTTCATTTATATTATTCATTTAGGAGAGATATACATTATAGTACTTGCATTATAGAAACTGGGGGGTAAAGAGTAAGGTTCTCAATAAAATGAACCATATTTCACGCAACTCTTTAATTTGCATGTGCCTAGCTCAGAACTGTATAGTTGAGGATCTCAGTAAAAAAGTATCTATTGAAGAGATGATTGCTGCAGATCAAAACCAGTCCTCCTCACTTCGCTTTCTCATCTTGAAACGTAAACCGGCCATCATTTAGTTCTAGTTTATTTGGATTTTTTGTTAAAGACATTTGAAGAATATTCTATGACATTGCAGTCATTTTTACTTGTTAAGTGGTAGCAAGTATTTTAAGCCTTCATCAGCCACAACCTTCCTAATGGGACATTGTTGTATTTCTTCTCTTAGTTTGCACTCTTAACTGCATTTAATTATCTGAATTTTCTCAGGATGAAGAAAAAGAGCTCCCATAAAGGGTGAGAATTGAGAGGAAATGTAGATAAAAATGAATTTCACTATCTCACTTCCAGTTTATCTACTCTGTCATCAACATTAAAGTCCTGTTTTTGTCTCTTCAGAAAACCACATGACATTTGAGAATCTTCTCCTCTACTGCACAAATTTCAAAACCATCTGGAACACCTTCCTTCCTTCCTTCTCTCCACCTCCCTATTCGTCCATCCTTTTCTTCAAACACGAAAGTGTTTTTTCCTTATTTGGCTCACTCTTCCTATGTTTCTGAGCTCTTACATTCTATCTTAATTCTTTAGTTATTTAAAGGTATTGTTTATATGAGAACAAACTTATACATACATAGGAAAATTTGAAATAAATAATATTTACAGATAAATCCTCTGTAGTGTATATGAAAATTAAGAATCAACTTTTCTGACTTCTAATTTCAAATACTAATGAAAAGTAAAAGGGCAAAGATCAAACCAGTATATGTACACAGGAGGAAGCACTAATACAATACATATAAATCTACTTTTAAATTAGTATGTTTGCATTCTCAGTCAAGAAGACTCATGTCTGCTCCTTGTTAGTAAATTAAACTCACAATTACAATCTTTGAAGATCTTCCCATAATGAAAAACAATGTAAATTGCAGCTCCTCGTAACTTAAGACTTGAGAACAATGTCTTTTTGGCTTTTTTTTTCTTTTCGCAAAAAAAGTACAGATATAAGAAAACTATACAGGGCCCTTGTCTTCAAATATTTAATACTTCATTTACTTTTTATAGCTGGAGAATTCTGGATTATTGACACTGACTCTGTAAATAACCTAGCTATATAGACAGTCACGTTTACAAAGATTGAATGCCTGGTTAAAATGCTCAAATATAATATAGTTTTGTTTAAAAATGCAAACATTTGGTCAGGCGCGGTGGCTCACGCTTGTAATCCCAGCACTTTGGGAGGCCAAGGCGGGAGGATCATGAGGTCAGGAGATCCGGACCATCCTGGCTAACATGGTGAAACCCCGTCTCTACTAAAAATACAAAAAAATTAGCCAGGCGTGGTGGCGGGCGCCTGTAGTCCCAGCTACTCGGGAGGCTGAGGCAGGAGAATGGCGTGAACCCGGGAGGCGGAGCTTGCAGTGAGCCGAGATCGCGCCACTGCACTCCAGCCTGGGCGACAGAGCAAGACTCCGTCTCAAAAAAAAAAAAAAGTGCAAACATTTGTGTGTGTGTGTCTCATGCACACGCACACACACTCTGCAGGAAATTAAAGAGCGCCAATATTTGAAAAATCTCCCTACAAGAAATCAGAGAGTGCCCACGATTTGAAAGAAAATCTGGATTTCAACATTATCCTTTGCTGTACAAATCAGTGGAAGTGTCCACATTACTGTCTCCAACATAGCACAAGGAAAGTGATTCCCCTCCCAGACAAGAGGTTTCTGACACTTGTCTTTATTGCCCCATCATAAATTCATAAAGGGATGTCCGCTGTAACCAGTTGGCAAGTTCACTGCATAAACATCAACACCAATTTAATGACTGTGTACACATCGTAAACTAGAGAATCTTTATACAAAGAAATCAGATAAATCAAACATGAGCTGAGGCTAAGGAGAAAGCAATTAAAGCTTTAGGTTAAGGTGGCTGCGGGAGGGCACTGTGTCACGTTAGAGCAGAGAACAGAAAATGTGTTAATACAACTGCAGTATGTATAATTAAATTAATTAGTAATATAAAATGTGTTTAAAGCAACATCTCATCAACAGATTAATAGATAAGAAACTTTTAGAAGTTTTAATTTTCCCATTGTATGTGTTCAAAGAATAGGAAAAAAAAAACCCTCTGAAATTTCCTAAGGGGTTGATAAAAATAAAATTGCTGTGGTGGTGGGCTTGGGGGGGTGGGGGATGTAAAGTCGATTTACCTGCCTCTGGCTAGTAACAGGAAAAAGGAATAATCAGAACATAAAAACCTGTTTGGCCATATTTCATCTCCTTATAGCATATTGAAATGTTTTGGCGCCAACTCATCTCATTCTAATACCTCGAAGGCTGGTATAAAACACCTTTAAGGCACATTGTTTTCTGAGCAATTATTTAGAGTCAATGTCTAAGAAATGCTTAAGCATCACCTGGTAATACAAATTTTAAAGTTATATTTAAAACACCCAAGGAGGTTTTTACTGAACAAAAATTAGATTGCCTATATGCCAAAGCTCCTCATCAACTGAAAGCTGGAAGCTAAATTTGGCCGTAAGAAACTGGCTTGGAACTTCAGAAGTTCTGGGGCCAAATTCAGCCCTGTATTACTTGTATGCCTTGTTACATTAAAAAAAAAAAAAAAAAAAAAAAAAAAGGGCTGTTCCAGTGATAGCAAGCATTCCATTTATTCATCTCAAAAGCAATAAGATCCTAGAATGGAGCCTTCATAACACAAAATGCTTTTAAGTTTTCCCTGAGGGGAACACAATATACACAATTCATGTAAAAAGAAGAAAAATGAAAGCTAAGTATTTCAGTTAAGGGTCAGAAATCAATATTTCCTTAACAGCCTAAGCAACATGCATTACTCTTAATACAAATACTCAGAGACTTTACATTCTTCATAAAGGGAGATTTTCACATAATTGGGGTTGAAAGTGGCAGAATATGCTCTCCCAACTTAGTTTCTATTGCTGCAAAATGGAAAAGAATATATTTGGACAGCATTTCACTGATCCCTGTCATCCTCGGTTAAAACTTCTTACCTAAATGTCCAAGTGTGGAGCAACACGTAACTAAATTTTAATACATCTCAATGGAATATGATAAAGACATTGCAATATCAATAGGAGAACAATATAGTAACAGAAACTATAAATGTAAAACTAACTTTATTGAAGAAATGAGAATATGGTATTTTTCAGGTGGCAAAATTTTTTCATGATGTTCCGTTATGCTGTCAATAAAAAGTTTTAAAAAAGAAAAACTTCTGCCTGAGTAGCACAAAAGTAAGTTATGATAAGATGTAGTAGGAAGAGAATGAACCTTAAGAGATAAAGTGTAACTAAAAGGACTGAGTTTAAAAAAACAAACATCCTGACTAGCTGGTGAGCATTAACATTAGTCCTCCTTCTGTTCTCCAGAATGGAGCCAGAGTGATCCCTGCAAAGGACCCGTGTGATTTTGTCACTCTACTGCTTGGCATGCTTCAGTGGCTTTCCATTATTTTCAGGCTGAAGACGAAAATGTTTATCATGGCCTTCAAGGTACCCAATGATCTGGTCTCGAACTCCTGACCTCAAGTGATCCGCCCACCTTGGCCTCCCAAAGTGCTGGGATTACAGGTGTGAGCCACCGCACCTGGCCAATAGAAACTATTTTTAAAAATTCATTTATGTGTCTTATGCCTTTTAAAATATTTTTTGTCCTGTTTTCTCCTTCTTTCAATAGTGTACTCTGATATGATTCAAAGGAACCCCAGGGACCAACACCTCTCCTGGTTTCCAAAAGACCTTAATTTTACTACAGTTTAAGATTCAAGTGTATAACAAATTCTTTTTTTCTAAAGCAGAATTTAGAGGAATCAGTTGTGACAATTCATAGAGATACACTTTTTTTTTTCTGTGCATGAAAAGCAGTAAAGCCCCGACTCCTGATTTTGAAACCAATTTCTCATATCAAAAGTCTACACATCTGTTGAAACTGCCTCTATTGCTTAGGACTAAGAAACAATTTCTTTGTATGGGCTGACTGAACAACTATCTTTTAAATCTCTTAAGTATGTACTAGAATTAGTCTGTGTTTGCATAGACATCTTTTACTTGTCGATATACACCAACACAGCTGTGGAAGAAAGACTAAGCTTTAGTTTCCACTTGGCCATCGGAAACTAAAGTCACTTAATCTCTCTAAGCCTCAGTTTGCTCATCTATAAAATAGGACAATAATACCTGCTTTACAGGTATTTGGGAGGATTAAGTAAGAAAATGATAGAATCATGCTGGATAAGCTGTAGAGCATTTACAAATAGAAAACATAATCAAGATTCCACTTAGCTTGAGGATTCAGACACAGAGTTTTGCAGAGTGGCCAAGTCACAAAAGGGCTCTTCAAAGGCTTCTACTCTCTGGTGTGACACTGGCACAACACCTATTGCCCCGGTAGAAAGACCTTTATTTCAAAATGTTTCACTAGGAAACAGTTAAAAGCTGTTCTTTGGTTAAGCGCACTGACTCTTATTTGGATGCTGCTGCCTCTTTAAAGCTTAGATCTGCATTCTTCTAATGGAGAAAAGGAGAGTAGGCATAAAACTATAGAATAAAGAGCCTGGAACTTAGTAGGTGTTATAAAACATTGGTTTAAAAAAGAAAACATGAGTGAATAAACCCAAAGCGTTCATCTATTTTAAATTATCCGAATTGCCATGGTAAAATACAAGTTGTAATTAGAAGAATCAGGTTTGGTGCTTTGCACATAATAAGAGTTGAAAAAATAAAGAGGATGACTGGAGTAATGACGTTCAAATAAGAAGTTAAAATATTAACACTAAAAAACTGTAACTGAACTTTTAATTAAAAAAACCCTAAAAACTAATGACATTGTTTTCTTCTTATTTAAAAAAAAAAGCCAGTATTCCACTTGAAATGTTCGTGAGATATACAAATCCACTGATTTCCAAAATTAACCTTATGATATTTAAAGATGATATATGCCTTGTTGTCTATGGATACCTGCCAGAACTTGTACTTACGTATTTCTAAACACTTAATTCAGCAATATTTCACATCAATTTCCCCCTCGATTTTTCTAGCTATCATGCCTTGAGAGCAGTTCCTATCTTTGACCTTGAAAACTCTCAATAAAAATCAGTCACATTTCCATTTCCTAGAAATTCGAAGAGTGTCACCAAACTTTCAGGTACAGATAAATTCTTGTCTGGTTATCCTGTATTGTGAAATGCCAGCTCTTCATTATTTCAGAACATTCTATATCAGGGCTGATATTGAATCTATAATTTTGTGTTTTAAAACACCAAACATCATAGTGAAATTCAAAAAATGAATTTCAGAATTCTGAGTGTTCATATTTCAAGCTCCTACATAGTTCGTTTATTTTTTCTTTCCATCGAGCCACAGAAGTTGACCCCAGTAAGACCATTAAGTCCACTGATTTCATTAGTAATATTTTTGTTCACACTCCAAAAATCAAATTGTTCATATTCCAAAAATTAAATAATTTGGTTTATCAACATTTCAATGATTTTCCATATTCTCCCAAATTATTTGAGAGCTATGACATACCACGTTAACATTTACATATGAAAAACAGAAGCAAAAAAGCAATTTTCCTAATAGAAGGCATTTAATCACGTTGAAATAAGATCTTACCTTACAGGGCTGCCCCTCAGCCCACCTTATACTTTCTGGATGTTTAAGTCTGTGGCTTTGACTTACATGGGTTAACGTCCTCTGTAAGCTAAATCCAGTATCAGATGGATATGGCATGAGGAACCAGCCAGCATGAGGAACCAGGTCCTACTGTTAAATCTGCGTGCCATGTTCAGTTGAGAACAAAACAGTCTTTCCCTAGTCTCTGGTTTCTCTGGCGTTTTGGGGTGAGAAAATAACTGAGTTTAGGATAGACACACTCATCAGAATTGTTCTTGAAACCCTTTGCATTTCAATCAGTGCAAAATGCTTTTTAAATATTCCTGCTAACACGTGCCCAAGAGAGAAGAGTCGGTCTCATATTTTCCCAAAGATCAAAATATCAAGAGATGGGAAATCCCTCCATAGAAAACCTTATTATCAAGGCTAAGGCAAGCACCTGGGGAATTAATAGCTGACATACCTCATTTTAAACACCTACCATATGTTCATGGAAAATATAGCCACGTTACTTATCACTTTCTGTTTTCCTTTCATTGGTTTATGTTTTGCCTTGAATAAAAACTGCATGAAAACATAGTCTTATGTTACCAGGTATGTATCTCCTCCGTGGAATAGCTCAATAACATTTTTAGTGTTTTATTTATGCAAGCAAAAATGCTCCTCAAATCAGTGCAGCTTGAACTGCTTGAAGAATGCTTTTTGAATTCCAGAATACTGAAGTTTTTTCTAACATCACTCAGGTACAGATACTTCCCAAAAGGCCTGTGACTGCCTTTTCCCCTTTTTGTTTTTTAAATCCCATATCTGTGTTTCAGTTTTCTTTAAATTTATTCATAGTAGAATCATGAAACTTCTTAAGGCCAGGCGGTGGGTTTATAAAAAATAAGGGTTTTTTTTTTTTTTTCAGAGTTCCATGAATTTACTGAACGTCTACCATGTGCTAAGCGCTCCTCACATACACCTGCATCAATTTTTCCCTTCTTGACAACAGTCTGAGAAGGTAAGTGATGTGCTTAGGTCACAAAGCTAGTGAGTGGTGGAGCTGGGAATCTAACGAGGTTTTGGTTTTTGTTTTTACTTCCAACTGTTTGTTGTTTTGGCTGGCACACAATAGACGATGTTCATGTGCACAGCCACTCCCAGGGTGAGTCCAAGGTGAGATGACATTAAGAAAGCAAATGTGTAGGCAGGAGGAATAATTTCAAGAGATCTATCGTACAGCATGGTGACTACAGTCAAAAACAATGTATCGTATACTTGAAAATTGCTGAGAGCAAATTTTAAGAATTATCACCACAATAAAAATAAAGTATGTGAGGGAATGCATATATTAATTGGTGGGTTTAGCCATTCCACAATGTATATGTATTTCAAAACATGATGTACACTGTAAATATATACAATTTTTATTTGTCAATTACAAAATAAACAATTTTTTAAAGTTTCTACCAACACTTTATAAGTAAGGGAAATTAAAAGGAAAAGACAAGTAATTATAAAGAGTTTTATTTTATTTTTTTTTGAGACAGAGTCTCGCTCTGTCACCCAGGCTGGAGTGCAGTGGCGCGATCTCGGCTCCCTGCAACCTCCGCCTCTCGGGTTCAAGCAACTCTCCTGCCTCATCCTCCCACATAGCTGGGATTACAGGCGGCCACCACCATGCCCAGCTAATTTTTTGTATTTTTAGTAGAGACGGGGTTTCACCATGTTGGCCAGGCTGGTCTCGAACTCCTGACCTTGTGATTCACCCGCCTTGGCCTCCCAAAGTGCTGGGATTACAGGCGTGAGCCACCGCGCCTGGCCTATAAAGAGATTTTTTTAAAAAGAAAGCAAATGGAAATGTAAGTGGGTAAGAGTGGCTTCTTCTGGGCAGAACTATATCCATATGTATATTATATTATATTATTATATGTATATAATTATATTATTATATGTATACTTATACATATATATCATTGGAAACATCAGTTCTTAAATACTATGACACACCACAACTGACAGAGACTGAAGGCACAGGTGCTATATCTCTGTGCCTAGGAACCTAGACAAATAGCAGCAGATCTAAGGGTTGATACTGAATTGCTTATACATTTGCAGAAAAAAATTAACAGATTAATAGAAAATGATCATTTTTGTTTGTTTTCTAATATGATCAATGGAGACATGCAATTCAATATTTACTATCCACCTACTATGGGCAAGGACTGTAAAGAGGAGTAAAACACAATCCCTGCCTTCGAAAACTTAAAAACTCAAATAGGGGCCAGGCGCAGGGGCTCACGCCTGTAATCCCAGCACTTTGGGATGCCAAGGCAGGCGGATCACCTGAAGTCGGGAGTTCGAGACCAGCCTGACCAACATGGAGAAACCCCATCTCTACTAAAAATACAAAAAAATTAGCTGGGCATGGTGGCGCATGCCTCTAATCCCAGCTACTCAGGAGGCTGAGGCAGGAGAATCGTTTGAACCTGGGAGGTGGAGGTTGCAGTGAGCCACGATTGTGGGATTGCACTCCAGCCTGGACAACAAGAGCAAAACTCCATCTCAAAAAACAAAACAAAACAAAACAAAAAATTCAGGGGAGGTGTGGTAAGTGTATATATATATAACAATTCAATAATAAAATTTTAGAACCAAAATTCAGTTGAGGAAAAACACACTTTTCAAGAATGTTTTATATACTTATTTAAAACCAGGCTTCTCATAGCATCAATATTAAAGAAAAGGATTTAAATCAAATCCATGAAATACATAGCAAGAAATGAGACACACTGAAACACAAACTTAAAAAAAATCTTGTTGATTGGAAGGAATGGGGAAGTAAAGTAGCAAAGTGTTGAATAGCATAGTTTTTGACATCAAAGAGAATCAAGTTCAAGCTCCCAGTTGAATTTACTATTCATGTGATCTTGGGTGAGTCCAGGGATCATCACCTACTAGAAGGAATAATAATGCCTACAGCACAGAGTTGTCATATTAAAGAAGATAATTCCTGTAGTAAAGTATTTAATAGCATAGTGCCCAACACACAGTCAACTAATAATATTAATAAATATCAATAAATATTAACTTAGCCACAAAAGGTCCAATGTGTTAGTTAAACTACAACAGCTGACACAGAAAGCAGGAGCCTTTTATTTACAGAACTCCCTATCTCTAATTCCTAAAGATAAAACTTAGAAAAGGCTGGTTGATCTTTATCTTCTTGAGTGTTTTCTCTCAATAAGGGCTGTAGTGATCACAGGCCACCACACAGTGAAGGGCATTCAGCATCAAAAGTGTAACCAGAGGAGAGCCCAGGCAAACAACCTGAATTCCACTCCATTTACTGCTTGCTGAGCAACTACTATACACAAAATACCCTGCTTAGGATCTAAAATTACCCAATTGAAAACTTTCCTTGCTAGCCCTCTAGAAAGGCACATGTTCTACAAGGACATAACTTTAACCTGTGACAAGTTTTGATAAGCAGTTATTTTCTGGTGAAACCATGGATTAAATGTACCTCCTCTGCATTTGGTAAGATGATACATTATAAACAAAAATTTCTTAACAATTAATCCATGTTTCTTCTCAACAATACAAATTTGTTTCTGGTCTTCAGGCCAATTAATTTCCTTGGCATTTACAACAACAACAATAACAATAAGGATTAACCTTTTGTTAAGTGCACAGTATGTGCCAGAGACTGTGTGTTAGGTGATTTACATTTTTGCTAATCCCTAGAGCAATTTACAGATGCAGAATCTGAGATGTTAAATGACCTGCCTGAGGTAACACTGTCAGTAGTAGCAGAATCCAGATGAATTGAATGCAGGCCAGCCTGGCTCCAGGATCTGTGCTCTTATCGCTGTACCACACTGGTATTGTGCTACAGGCACTGAAGTGTGCTTTTTATTGTATCCTTGCTTCTTACATGGATTGTTTTATTTTAAAATGCTAAGAAAATGTACTAATTACCCAAATAATGAAGGTTTACTGTAGAAAAGTTGGAAAAGAAGGAAGAGCAAAAAGAAAACAAATTAAGTCTCAAATAATCTACCATCCAGAAAGGGCTAGTATTTTGTGTCTTTACCTCCCAAAACTTTTTCTTTCCATACTTATTTGAATTTGTATCTTTTACAAAAAAATCGGCTCATACTGCATATACTCTTTTCTAACTTGCTTCTTAAAAAGTTAATAAACATTTTTCCATATCAATAAAAATACATCTCTATTACATTTTGATGGCTGCATAATATTCCACAATATGGATGCACCATGATTTGTCAAATTTGTTTCCAGTTACTAGACTGACTGCTTTCAATGTTATGGCTAAAATAAACATCATAATCAATATCTACTTACATTTTTGTTTATTAGATCATTAACTTTTAAGAAAATTACTGGAGGTAAAAATAAAGGGCCAAAAGTATGCATTTTTTTAAAGATGTTTAATTCTTTGGAAAGGCTGTACAAACTGAGAATCCCTCTGAAAATCTGAAACTTGAACTGCTCCACAATTTGAAACTTTTTGAGCACTGACATGATGCTACAAATGAAAAATTCCACAGCTGACCTTATGTGACAGGTCTCAGTCAAAACACAGTGAAAATTTTGTTTTGTACATAAAATTATTTAAAACATTGTATAAAATTACCTTCAGGATATTTGAATAAAGTGTCTATGAAACACAAATAAATTTCATTTTTAGATTTGGGTACCATCCCCAAGAATACATATATTACATATATGCATATATTCAAAATCTGAAAAATTTTGAAATGCTAGGCACTTCTGGTCCCAAGCATTTCAGATGAGAGATACTCCATGTAAACACTCTTCAGCATAATATGAAAGTGTCCCTCTCCACATCTTTGCCAACATTGGTGCTTTGGCGTTTGCCAATATGATAGGTGAAAATGACATCGTATTTTAGTTTTTATTTCCTTAAGTACAAGTTGGGATAAACTTTTTTTTCATGGTTACTGATCACTTGCATTTTTCACTAATGAATTACCTAGTGGAGTCATGTCAGACGCATGTTTAATTTGATTGCATACACTCAGCAACATAATAACCTGTATGTAATTAAAATTACACTTTGCATACATTTCCATTATTATATATAATATATAAAAATATATATAATATATATGAATTACATTTTACATTTATTATATAAATATATATATAACATATATATATTACTCTAAAGGATTATATAAAAACCCCATACAATATAGATATTATTAGAAATTTAGGAGATTTTTCCTTAACTTTGAAAATTCTCCATTTGTCAGTTTATATAATAAATATATATAATAACACATATATATATTACTCTAAAGGATTATATAAAAACCCCATACAATATAGATATTATTAGAAATTTAGGAGATTTTTCCTTAACTTTGAAAATTCTCCATTTGTCATTTTATACTCTAATTCAGAATATTTATGAAAAAGATATGCCTTACTAAGTTTTACAAAAAGATGTGCCTCTATTGTATTAAACTCCCAATTCATTTTTGGGGTACTTTTTTCTAACTTATTTGTAAGAGTTCTTTACATATCAAAAATATTAACCCCTACTTAGTCACATGTTTATTGTGAATAATTCCCCTCAGTTTGTCATTTTTATTTTAACTTTGTTTATGATACTTCTTGCCATACAGAAAATTTAACTTTTTAATAGTTATATATATCTGTGTTTTTCATCCCTGACATCATGCTCTGAAAGACTGCTATATTAGTTCGTTTTCACGCTGCTAATAAAGACATACCCAAGACTGGGCAGTTTACAAAAGAAAGAGGTTTAATTGGAATTATAGTTCCACATGGCTGGGGAGGCCTCACAATCATGGTGGAAGGCAAGGAGGAGCAAGTCACCTCTTACATGGATGGCAGCAAGCAAAGAGAGCTTGTGCAGGAAAACTCCCCCTTATAATAACCATCAGATCTTGTGAGACTTACTATCATGGGAAACACCTGCCCCCATGATTCAATTACTTCCCACTGGGTCCCTCCCACAACATGTGGGAATTCAAGATGAGATTTGGGTGGGGACACAGCCAACCCATAACAATTTCTTAAACTTAAAATTCCATAACTAATATATTATATCCTACTAATTTTGTTCTTTTATTTCTTACACTAAAATTTTTAATTCATTAGGAATCAAATGACATAATCCATTTTGTTTTCTCCCATTTGAAATGTCATCTTTATTTTCAAATTAATTTTATGTAAATTTTGGTATGTGCCTATACTGTCTCTTCTGTTCCACTGACAGGCACCTTCATTTCAGTGCCTGTTTAAAGCTATCTTAATTACCATAGCTTTATAATATGTATTAATTAAAGTAGGACAAATATCTTAACTGCTCTTTTAAAAATCTTAGGCTACATTAGCACATTTATTCTTCAAAGTAAAACTTAGAGTACTTTTTGTCAGGCTTCTCCTCAAAATCTTCTTTTAAGATTCTGATGTGTAGATTGAGAAAAATTGTAATCTTTACAATATAGCCCTTCATTTTTTTCAAGTTTTCTTTTATGTTCCACAATTTCATTTGTAATTTACTCCAAATAGAAAATGAGCATTCCCTTTTAAAATTATTTGATATTATACACTTTATTGTGATTTTATCTTTTTATTACATTCTTTTATTGCTGATTAAAAAAGCTATTGATACTTGCATATTGATTTTGTAACCTAATAAACTCATTGTTTTGAGTAGTTTTTGTTTGATTCTTTTTATTTCATTTTGTTCTTTGTTCAGGTAGGCAATTATACCATTTACTAGTTATTTTAATTTTTTCTCCTTTCTGGTACTTACACTTCCAATTTTATTTTTTATTTTTTTCCTTTCCTGCATTGACTAGAATTTCCAGATAATTTTGAGAAAAGCTGAGAAACTGTAGCTCCTTATTTATAGGGAGACTAGGGGTTCCTTATCCGATATGATACTAGGTATTATTTAAGGTATACAGTGTGAGGCTTTGATATGTGAGTGGGCGTGTGTGTGTGCGTGCTTGCATGTGTGCATGCATGGTGAGAACATTTAAGATCTACTCTGTGATGGTTAATTCTAGGTGTCAAATTGACTGGGTTAAGGAATGCCCAGATAGCTGGTAATACATTATTTCTGGGTATGGTTGTAAGGGTAGACATTAGCATTTGAATCAGTCAACTGAGTAAAGGAATTCCACCCTCATCAATGTGAGCTGTCATCATCCCATCTGTTGAGGGCCCTGACAGAATGAAAAGGCAGAGAATGGGCAAATTCTCCATTCTTGAGCTGGGACATCATTTTCTCCTGACCTTGTATATCAGAACTGCTGATTCTTGGGCCTTCAAACTCCAAGACTTACACCAATCCCCCAAAACCCCCAAGTTCCAGTTCTCAGGCCTTACATGTTGAACTGGGAGTTACACCATGGGCTCCCCTGGTTCTCCGGCCTTTGGAATTGAACTGAATTATGCCATCACTTTCCTGTTTCTCCAACTTGCAGATGGTATATCATGGGGCTTCTCAGCCTCCATAACTGCACAAGCCAATTCACACAATAAATTTCCTCCTATATATATATCTCTCTATATCCTATTGGTTCTGTTTCTCTGGAGAATCCTGACTGATACATACTCTCTTAGTGAATTTCAAGTGTACAATACAGGATTACTAACTACAGTTACCATGCTGTACATTAGATCTCCAAACTTACTCATTCAGCATAACTGAAACATTGTACCCATTTCTCCCAGCCCATGGCAATCACTAATCTACCCTCTGCTTCTAGGAGTTTAACTCTTTTAGTATCCACATATGAGACCATGCAATATTTGTTTTTCTGTACTTGGCTTATTTCACCTAGCATAATGTCTTCCAGCTTCATCCATGTTGTCACAAATGACAGGATTTTCTTCTTTTTTAGTGCTGATTAATACACACATTGTAAGTTTGTATGTACAATCATTTTCTTTATTCATCTGTCAATAGATACTTAGTTTGATTCCACATCTTGGCCATTGTGAATAATGCTGCAATGAACATGGGAATGCAGATATTTCTTTGACATACTGATTTCATTTCCTTTGGATATATTCCCAGAAATGAGATTGCTGTATCACATGATAGTTCTATTTTTAATTTTTCTGAGGAACCTTCATACTATTTTCCATAATGGCTATACCAATTTACATTCCCACCAACATTGTGTCAGGGCTCCCTTTTCTCCACATCTTTGTCATCCCTTAACTCTTCTCTTTTGATAATAGCTGTCCTAACAGGTGTGAGGTAGTATCTCATTGTGGTTTTGATTTACATTTGCCTGATGATTAGTGACACTGAGAATTTTTTCATATACCAATTGGCCATTTGTATGTCTTCTTTGGAAAAATGTCTATTCCAGTTTTTGCCCATTTTTCTATTGGGTTATGTGTTTTCTTGCTATTGAGTTGTTTGAGTTCCTTAAACACTTCGGATATTATCTCATCAGCTGTGTGGTTTGCAGATATTTTCTCCAATTCCTATAGGCTGTATATTCACTCTGTTGATTGTTTCCTTTGCTATACAGAACCTGTTTAGTTTGATGCAATTCCATCTGTCTATTTTTGCTTTTGGTCCTTATGTTTTGGAGTCATATCCAAAAAAATCATTGTCCAGACCAATGTCAAAAAGATCTTTCCCTATCTTTTCTTCTAGTAGTTTTACAGTTTCAGCTCTAATGTTTAAGTATTTAATTCATTTTTAGCTGCTTTTTGTATATGTTATGAGACATAGTTCAATTTCACTTTTGTGCATCTGGAGTTCAGTTTTTGCAACACCATTTATTGAAGACACTATATTTTCCTCATTGTGTGTTCTTGCACCCTTGTTGAGGATTAATTGACTGTAAGTGCATAGATTTATTTCTAGGTTCTCTATTCTATTTCATTAGTCTATATGTCTGTTTTTGTGCCAGTATTATACTGTTTTGATTACTATAGCTTTGTAGTATATTTTTAAAACAGTCAATATGGTGGCTCCAGCTTTGTTCTTCTTGCTCCATATTGCTTTGGCTATTTGGAATCTTTTGTGGTACCATATAATTTTAGGATTGTTTTTTCTATTTCTAAGAAAAATAACATTGGAATTTTGATAAGGATTGCAATGAATCCATGGATTGCTTTAGGTAGTATGGACATTTTAACAATATTAATACTTCCAATCCATGAACACAGTATATCTTCCCATTTATTTGTGATTTTGTCAACTTCTTTCATCCATGTTCTACAGTTTTTTAGTGTACAGATCCTTTGCCTACTTGGTTTATTTTTTTCCTAAGTATTTAATTGTTTTAGATGCTATGGGATTGTTTTCTTAATTTCTTTCTCTGTTCCTTGTTAATATATAGAAACACAACTGATTTTTGTATGTTGATTTTGCATTCTGCAACTTTACTGAATTTGTTTACTAGTTCTAAAAGTTTCTTGGTGGTGTTTTCGATATATAAGATCACAAGTTTTGTACATATAAGATTATGTCATCTACAGAGAAATTTTTACTTCTTTCTTTTTGATTTGAATCTCTTTTATTTCTTTTTCTTGCCTAATTGCTCTGGCTAAGATTTCCAGTACTAGGTTGAATAGAAGTGGTGGGAGTGAGTTTCTTGTCTTGCCCTAATCTTGGAGGAAAAGCTTTTAACTTTTCACTGTTGAGTATTATGTTAGCTATAAGCTTGTCATATATGGCCTTTATTATGTCAACATATGTTCCTTCAAATACTTCTTCTTTATCTACTGAGATGATCATATGATTTTTATTCTTCATTCTGTTAATGTTGTATGTCACATTTATTGATTTACATGTGTTGAACCATCCTTGCATGCCAAGGATAAATCCCACTTGATCAGGATGTGATCCTTTCAATGTGCTGTTCAATTTAGACTATTTGTATTTTACTGAGGGATTTTTGCATCTGTGTTCACCAGGCATATTAGCTTGTAATTTTTTTCTTGCAATTTCCTTGTCTGGCTTTGGTATCAGGGTAATGTTGACTTCATAAGATGAGTTTGGAAGTGTTCCCTTCTCTTCCATTTTTTGCAAAAGTTTGAGAAGGACTGGTGTTAATTCTTCCTTAAGTGTTTACTAGAATTCACCAGTGAAGCCCTTAGGTCCTAGACTTTTCTTGTTCAGAAGTTTTTAATGACTGATTCAATCTCCTTACCGGTTATTTGTCTGTTCAGGTTTTCTACCTCTTCATGGTTCACTCTTGGTAGGTTATATGTTTCTAGGAATTCATCTCTTTCTTTTAGGTTATTTAATTTATTGGCACAAAATTGCTCATAGCAGTCTCTTATAATCTTTTGTATTTCTGTGGTATCAGTTGCAATGTCTCCTCTTTCACTTATAATTTTATTTACTTGAGTCTTTTCTTAGTCTAGCTGAAGGTTTGTCAATTTTGTTCCTTTTCAAAAAACCTACCCTTAGTTTAATTGAACTTTTCTATTATTTTTCTTCAGTTGAGAGAATTTGTGATTTTTTTCCCTCTTATACTCTTGACTATCACTTTTATTTTATTTGTACTTGATCTTTCTTAAGTAAGAATACCTATCTGTTGGTCCTCCATTCTCTGTTGTTCATATCATCACTTTCCTTCTCCTTTTCTTTCTATCTTTCTATCCTTCTCTGGACCATCATGGGAGATTTATTCAAATGTCTTCTTCCATCACGTTCTGATTTTCTACAGGATCAGTTCTGTTCTTGACTGTTCTCAATGAGTATTTTAATCTTGCTCTTGTGCCTTTAGCTTCCTTACAATCTTCTTTCATCTTCTTCTGTTTGCTTTTTATCTTCTTCTGTCCTTTACCTCATCATTTTACTTTCTATTTCATATTTTTGCCTTCTGATAGAGGCCTTGTTTTCTTGTAATACAGTATTCTGATGATCTTTTCTGGATCTTGAATTGGAGCATCCTCAGGTGTGTTATTTGCTTTATTCTGATTAGATGTAGCACTTAGAAAACTGAAATTCACAGTCCGCACTGCCAATATTTTTTCCCTTCTATGTCCCACTTCCCACACTGGCTTTCTTATAAGGATTGTATTTATTAGAATGCCCTGCACCACTGTTAACATCCCCCTACTTTCTGTTCATTTGCTTCCTGAGAATTTCAATATCTGTTTGTTATAGAAAGGTCACAGTTGAAGTGTCGGGAAAATGATAATCTCTCAAAGCAGTTCCCAAGAGCCAGAGAGGGGTTTCTGCTCAGATTTCTGGTTGGCACAATTCCTGGTTCACTAGGTCAGCAGGCAGATGGTGACAGAGTTGTGAAGCATATTCTTACCTCTCACCATACTAATTCTTTTATTCAATAAAGAGGTATGGTATGCTATGAGTGGAAGCTCTACATGCCTTATAAATAGGACCTATTTCTCCCAGATTCTATTGGTATTAGTTTCTAGCGCCACTGTAATTTTTTATTATTTCTTGTGTTTTCATGGGCATTGAGAGATAAATTATACTGGAAACTGCTAGTCAGATCAATTTTGATATGGTTCTTGTTGACCTAGGTTTTCACATAATTTTATTTGGGGGATGATCAAGTCCTCCTTTTCATTAGCAAAAATTAACCACTTTTGTAATCTTAGGTTTCATACCTCTCCCTAGTTAAACATAATCTTGCCTTCTGTATTCAGCTGTAGCATCCAGGTTAGCCTTTATTTAGCCAAAGTCTTTCAGCTCCGAACTTTCTCTTTAGTACTCTGCTTTCAGATGCTGAAACTGGGATACTACAAACTGCATTTCGCCTTTGCCCCAGGCTTCCTGTTAGACACTGCAATTAGGGAGCACTAGAGGAAGACTGGAAGGCAGGAGGAGGGAAAAAGAACTTGCTCCTTCCTGTGCTCTTAATGTTCCACCCACATTGCCTCAGCAATGGTACTTTACTCTGGCAGCTACACAGTTGGTTCCGGCTTCCAGCTTCCTTCAGTGCTCCCAGAGTCAACTTCATTACTCTCACGGGTATCACAAGTAGTCTGGCAGTTCTCTCCTCAGAGATCTGAGGCCCAGCTCCTGAGGTATCAATCCCAGCACTAGCTGGGTGGCTTCCTTTCTCAGAGGACCGAGTCCCAACTCCACAAGGCTCCTCCTCTGGCCTTCTAGGATCTGCTGACCCCCACCTTTTCCTTTTGTCCTCTCAGCCCTAGAGAAGGTAACGGCTTTCAAAAGCGTTATCTTGTTTCCATTGTGTTCTGTTTTGCTTTTTAAGATTACTAATGTCCCTTTCACCAAATGCCTATGTTGAATGCTCTCTGTGAAAATAACTAGTGTGATTTCTGTTTTCTGACTGGACTGTAACTATTACACAGGATGCTTTCACAAAATATCTGTGAGCATAAACATTTCAGGAAGCCAGGCCAAGGGGTGTGTGGAAGGTATGCTTGGAGATATGCTTGATGATGGTAAAGTGTGTACCCCAAGATTTAGATAAGAAAATAAAACTTTCTGGACTACAGTACTGCCAGATCACTCAGTGTGGGGTGGGGTGTGTGTGGTAGAGAGTACACACAAGGAAATGGGAGATGGTCAGGTGCCACGGCTCACAGCTATAATCCCAGAACTTTGGGAGGCCAAGGCGGGTGGATCACTCAAATCCAGGAGTTTGAGATGAGCCTGGGCAACATGGCAAAACCCTGTCTCTACAAAAAGTACAAAAATTAGCCAGGCTTGGTGGTACATGCCTGTAGTCGCAGCTACTTGGGAGGCTAAGGCAAGAGGATCATTTGAACCTGGTATGCAGAGGTTGCAGTGAGCCAAGATTGTGCCTCTGCACTCCAGTGTGGGCAACGGAGCAAGACCCTGTCTCAAAAAAAAAAAAAAAAAAAAAAATTGTAGATTTCAAAGGTAAACTTCTAAAACTTAGAAATTTTACCTGCAGCAAGCCCTTCTTGGGGTGAAATGACACTGGTTGTAAACTTTTCAAAGGGAAGTCAGAATCAGGTTGGAGTTCTTAAGAAGAGCAGTGTCTTTCATGGGCTGGGGTGAAATTATGATAAAATGAACTGGCTAAATAAATGGTCACTGAAAATGAGACCAACTCTATCATAAGACACTTAATAACATCATAACACTTTGATGGCAAAGAAAAGGCATGTCAGCTGAGGGGCTGAAAGTCCCTTAGTTCCTTTTCTGTTCACAGGGATCATCTTCATCTGATCTAAATGAATCTCAGCTATGACCAGTTTTTTTTTTTTTTAAACACTTGATTCAGTCACCAAACTGACCACTGGGATTAAATCAAAGAAGACGTAACACTCAGTTTCAATGTTGAGAATACTGTTTGCATTGAACATCAGATCTATACAAAATTTTGGTTCAGCTCTTTTACAATTTTTGATAGGTATAATATTTTACTTTAGAAATGCTCATTCATGTCACTGGAACAACATTTTAGACTCTTAAAAATGCCACAGAGTTGCAGTTATGCAGGATGAAAAAGTCTAGAGATCTAATGAGGACTATAGTTAATCATGTTGGATTGTATACTGGAAATTTGCCAGGAGTAGATTTGAGGTTCTCTTACCACAAAAACAAAGCAAAAATAAGAAAAGAAAGGCAACTATATGAGATGATGGATATAACAATTTGCTTGACTGCACTAATCACTATATATATGTGTATCAAAACATCATGTCATATACCTTGTATATAATAAAGCTTTTTTTAAAGGCCAAATACTTATTATTATCCAAATGAGTCACATCAGATTCTTTTTTGAGGGGAGGAAACTTTATCCTTTGGGGAACCCCAAATCAGTATGTTTTCCTTGTTTATCTATTTCTTAATTGTATTCCAAATACGAGTTCAGAGACAATGAATGTTAGCTGACATTCCTGTCACTTGGCTTGATAAACCCTTCAGACAGCAAAAATATTGTTATTTCTTACAAGGGTCCTCTCTAGACAATTGCTATGACTTTACTTGTTATAATAGATAACAGTCCTGAGGAAAATAGTTTGCCTTGGCCCAGGATAGAATACCTTAAGGCACACTGCATAAGTCATTACATAGTGGATTTGTAGAAAGAAGGAAAAGATTTATTAAAGCAGAAATTTACAATAAATACCCATTAGCTATGGAAATATCTTAAAACAATAACCATCAACCATTCTTTCATAGGAAGATAACTCTTTTCTGTCTCTTCAATTCAATGAGATGTTCAAGATTTGGCAGTTCCCCCAAACAATAATTTGCATTCATCTAAGAATTTCTGAAGCATTTTAAGAGGGTTAATTCATTATCTTTTATAATATAACCAAAACTTACTTATTACTAGATCATCTTATCCCTTCTGCATGGAACAAGACACGAAAGTAACATACAGAGGAAAATCTTGCATTAAGAAATGAAAAAAGGCTAGCAAGAAAAAAGGATGGGGTCCTGTTTTGTAGATATTGAGATCCACCAGTGATTACAAAGACAGCCAGCTTCTATAAACACATCTTTAATTAATCCTTTAACTGTCAGACTTCAAAACACCACCATTAAAATAATATTTCTTCTTATCTTCAGTGCTTGACATTTCCTTCATTTGCTGACTCATTAACCATCAGAAAACATGCTAAACACAAAGAGTCATGTTCTTTGAGAGTTAACAAGTCAGGACAGAACTAGAGAGGTTAAGTGACCAGTTAGACAATTTGGAGGAAGAACCAAACTAAAGCTCATGGTTTTCCTGTAAATTTTCAGCCCAGTGGGATTTCTGCTTGCACTGCCACTGCCCAGCTGCCACCTTATCATGCAAGTGACCTAACTCTGTCATTTATATGCTCATGACAGTATTCGCGTTTGAAAATACAAGAGGTTTAGGTTTGGTGTAGGTTCGGCTTGGGAGGGTAGTAATATTTGCCTTCAGGACTTCTTCTTTCAGCTTCAATTCCCTTGCATACTCGTGTGGACTTCTAGTCACACAGGGTCAGCTCGGACTACAACTGCCTTAGGCCCAGATATGGTCTCTGCCCAAGGTTCCTTTACTTCTCCCAAGCCATCAAAACTCTTCCCTGAGATCTTCTCTTTGAAAATGAATGTTAACATTGGTCCAATCACATAAATATAGCTACTATTACAACTCTAGCAGTGATACTGCACTTCTATTACTACGGGCTAACTCATGTTTACAGAACTATGTGCCACATTTCACATAATGGAATAGCTTAATTGTTGGTTTACCAGCACTTATTTGGCAGTTGCCAGATGTTTGTTGACCATTACATGACAGTTGTTTCTGTAGTGTAAGTACAGTGTAGCAACATGCCAGCTTACTTGTTGGTAGTCCCCATTAGGCTGTAGGTCACTTGAAGTGGGGGCATTGTATCTTCATTTGGAAGCAGTTTTGTTTGTTTGTTTGTTTGTTTGTTTTTTGAGACAGAGTCTCACTCTGTCGCCCAGGCTGGAGTGCAGTGGCACAATCTCGGCTAACTGCAAGCTCCGCCTCCCGGGTTCATGCCATTCTCCTGCCTCAGCCTCCCAAGTAGCTGGGACTACAGGCGCCCGCCACCACGCCCAGCTAAATTTTTTGTATTTTTAGTAGAGACAGGGTTTCACCATGTTAGCCAGGATGGTCTTGATCTCCTGACCTCGTGACCCGCCCACCTCGGCCTCCCAAAGTGCTGGGATTACAGGCATGAGCCACCGCGCCCGGCCTGGAAGCAGTTATTTTTGTACACACTCCCCAAAGAAAACAGTTTGATTTAAAGTTTAAATGTATTGATTCAATGAGTAAGTGAATCCACACTTTGTTGAATCTGCAGAAAAAAAAAAAACTTTGTCTAATATTAAATCAGCCAATAGAGCTAGTGTGGAAATTATAAATTTGTTACTATTAAAATAAATGATAATTTTGAGTGACTAAGCTGTGAATGGAGTCTCTTGTTCACTTAAATCATTTTCAAAGTACTTCCTTTTGGCATATCTGGAAACATTTTATTTGAAATTATTATTTTGGTTTGAATTTTTACCTATCAAAAGAACTAGTCAAAAAAGAAAGATGAAAGAAGGCACTAAGTATATACAGTTTATTGGTATAGTTTAGTGGGCTTTCTTTTTTTTTTACAGCTTTAAGATGTAATTCACATAACATACAATGGACCAATTTAAAGTGCACGATTTGATGTACTTAAGTATATTGTAGATTTTAAAAAGAAGCAAAAACTTAACATTTTTAGTACAATAATTTCAAGTGTGAGTGCCAGAAAGGGGGATAGGGCTTTTCAGGAAAAAAAAAAGACTGATATTGAGAGCTATTAGATAAATTTTCTTCTGAGGGAGGATTTGAACCTCTGAAAATCTAGGAAATGTAAATCCAAAATGTGCTAAACACAAGACTATTAGGCTTTTTCCTGAAATGAATAAATGAATGTGAGCTTTTGCCTCTTTATTTTCTGTGAGTCAAGGGCATGTATAACTATTTTTCAGCTTTACCTCATGAAAGCTCTGAGCTTTCCCTTCATGTTAAAATATATTATTTAACATTTGAGTATGTCAACACCACATTAGGCACTTTAAAGTACAGAATTAGCCATGCTTCCTACTCAGGGGACTTGTCTACTAAGCATCAGACTAAAGCAAAATGCTCTAGAATTCCCTCACATCAAGCAATCCATAGAGTGATATTTTCCCTTAATTCTTCTGTAAAATCAATGAGATTTTTCTCTCTTTTTTTTTTTTGTGCAAACTCAAAGGAACACTCTTTGATTTAACATATACCTTTAGAAGTTCTGTTTGGCACATTCCACATCTTATTCTTTTATCATGGGACAGAATCAGTGACTACATCTAAAATTAGGCCTATTAAATGTGGTTTCTGTCACAAAGCAAAAGGAGTTCCCATTTTCACTAATTCTGTCATCACCTACATTATTGTAGGTGGGATATTTAAACAAATGAGAGCTTATTTCTCTCATGCATCTTCATAGGGTACACTAACTTAATAAGGTTGATGGTATAATGCAGTGAGAGAGCCTGAAGAAAATAAATACAAAATGCTTTGATCTAGGCATACTTTTGCAGTGTAAAAATAGTTGGAAGTAAAATTTTTAATTATGCTATAGTCTAGGATGCTTTGTGAGCATTAGAAATATAAGGCAAGTACAAAGTATTAACTCTTAAAGCTATCAGGCTACACTCTTTAATCTAAGATGATTAAAAGTACATATTAAAGTGTTAATTTTCTTTTTTTTTTTCTTTTTTTTTTTTTTTTTTTTTTGAGACGGAGTCTCGCTCTGTCGCCCAGGCTGGAGTGCAGTGGCGGGATCTCGGCTCACTGCAAGCTCCGCCTCCCGGGTTCACGCCATTCTCCTGCCTCAGCCTCCCAAGTAGCTGGGACTACAGGCGCCTGCCACTACGCCCGGCTAATTTTTTGTATTTTTAGTAGAGACGGGGTTTCACCGTTTTAGCCAGGATGGTCTCGATCTCCTGACCTCGTGATCCGCCCGCCTCGGCCTCCCAAAGTGCTGGGATTACAGGCGGTGAGCCACCGCGCCCGGCCTAAAGTGTTAATTTTCAATCGAATAACTTGTTTAGTCACTGAATTGCTAGTCGGCTTCATTTATAGTTTTACCAGAGGCTCCTTAAACTTTTTGGTCTGCCAGATTAACTCTGCTTGGATAAATATACTATAATCAACTAGATTAATTAGTCAAATTAGCTTAGTATTTCTTCCTCAATACTTAGAAGTTGAAAAGTTCATAATGTTGAAATTAATAATTCAGCATCAGTTGCTAAAGTTTTTTTAAGACTAAATGTAATAGTGACAAGTGTTACAAATTCAGAAATATTGTAATTAAGCAAGCAGATGTACATTTTGAAATAGTGCCTCAATGAATATTAAAACATCCTGAATAAATTCTTGCTAGAGTTTAATTTGGTGATATAAATTGTTGAAAGAAATAATAAAATTATTAGCATACAGTGTTTTCTAAAAGATCTCATTGTCATTTACTGTAAATGGTGTTGTCAACATGCTAGTTCATAGATATATTTGGGAAAACTTGGCCCACATGGTTCTCTCATCGAATCTAGGGTGTTATTTCATGGACAAAAAGATCTTATCTTAAGATATTAGGCCTTGAAACTGGGTCTTTGAGTTTTTTCTACCAGAGAGTGTAGTAGTTTCTCAGAGCAAATACTCGTGAAATTAGATAATTTCATTTTGCAAACAATCTGGAAAGGATTTGGAGAATGAGGAAGAGGGGGAGAGAAGGGGGGCGATGAGAGGAATCTACTCAGGTTTTCTCGCACGGATTTTGAATTTTGCCTTGAGATATTTAGAATTGAAATAATCAAAAGGTAATCATATTACCTAACTTTGGATAGAAAACATAAACGAATCCCAAATTTCTAATACTTACCCTTCCTGCTAAAACTATGAGTCTTCCTAATGGAGAACAAATAATGAAAAGTTAAATACCCTGATTCCACCACTAATTCTTTTAAATTATCTGTAGCTGAGGATTGTTACACAGTCATTTTATCTTCAAAAAACGGCAGCAAAATGTCAATGAATAGGTAGTAGGAGGAGTTCTGGAAGGATGAGCACACCAATAAAATTATTAAAAACCAGAGGTAAGTGAATTATTACCTGGATTTCCTTTCATATGATTGGAAAGAAACCCATGAGAGTTTAATTCTAGAATCTTTTTCTATTTTATAAATATTTAAATGAGGCAAAAAGAAACTTCTAGAATTCCGGTATTTAACTAATTCTTCTACTGTACTTTCATTTAAAAAAAGTATTAATCCACTTGTCAAAGTCTCCTGGGGCATCATATCATTTCTTATAATTGTCCTTTATATTCTAAATGGTAGATGGATCTCTTAGTATATTTCTTCAAGGTGAAGAAAATAAAATGGAAGCATTTGTTTTTCAACCAAAAGATAACTATCAGAGGAATGATGCAAAGTTTGCAATCTGATGGTTTTTAAGGATAATTTTAAGCTCGTCTTAATCTTTGAGACTGGTTACCTCATTTGTAAATAAGGAATATCACCTCCTAGATCCCTAACAGAAAATATTTGTATATTAAAATATAAAGGCTGTGTGTATGTGCTGCACTATCAGGCACAACAGTTTGGGGTTAAGCATTTTCAGCAATCTTAAAAGTCAAACTCATGTAATCCATTATAACTGAATCTACAAATGTCTTCAGGTAAATTCAGAAGACTGAAGCAAAAGATTTTTAGCCCAAAAGGTACCTTCTACTGAGGTTCTTACAGAATGTCAGAGTGCTTTAAATTATGGTACTAATAGAGAGAGATTACATATATATAAATGTAGACATTTTTACGAACAAAATCTTACAATGATAGTCTTGTTACCAGGATCAAACAGAAGCTCAAACCAGCTACCTCCATAAGGTGTGAAGTTGAGATGATTTTCAGGGTCAATAAAGCCAAAGTAATTTTAGATTGAACGCTTTGTTTTCCAAAAGAAAAAAAAAGTATGCACATCTCTATTCATGATGTGTGTGTGGGTGGTATAGTTTTGAGAACTTGAGGAGAGTGGTGCTTGGTATAACCTAGGCAGCAAGGGAAAGCATTTAAAAATACTGTCAACGATTCTGGCAGGAAAGACTGTATAAATATACTGTAGACTCAAACATAAGTGAGCTGGTTAAAAAAAGAAAAGAAACTGCAAAGGAAAACTTCAAAACTTCTACCCCCATGATGAAATAAATTACATAAAGGAGGAAGTTATCAAGGGTTTTCATACCCACCATATACCTAATTTCAAAAGCCTAGTTCTTAAGGAATTTTCTTTTCAAATCTGAGGATTCAGTATTCAGCCAATATAATTGGTCGGATAGTCTTAGCATATTTTGTGAAATCATTTATAAGACTACCAAATGTCTTGGGAACTTTTCCCTCTAATCACTCCTGAATCCGTCCAAATTGGTTTTAAATTATTCCTTTCGTAATGGTAAATTTTTATTACAAACATGTTTTTTACTCCAATTTAAACACAGATATGTCAGTTTGAAGTTGAAATAATTAGATCCTACATGGTTTTTCATGCAGCACATTATTATATTATATCAAAAATCCTATCCCATCATGGAAAAGATGTGAAAGGTTTATATAAATTCCAAGTTAATTTATTTCATTAAATGGCTTATACTGTGCATGTAGGTGTGCATTTATTTTCAAGCACAAACATGCAAATACATAGAACCATGAATTATATTCCACAGCATCCCTTTTAAAGTGCGTTTTTTCTTTTAAAAATCTTTACATGAATAATATCCACCATCATGGACGTTGAACACTGATGATTCTGGCTAACGCTTTTATCCTTTGCTTGAAATTACAGGATCAGTCTAGCCAGAATTTATGAGAACCAGACCTCAGACCTCACATAGCTCACATATGAGACCATTAGGCATCTAACTACCTCTGAACAATTTCAATGCATTATCTCGCCTTTTCCCTGGGGCACAAACTTCACTCGTCCATACTTTTAATATATTTTGTCTGCATGAAGCAGATCGAGTTATTACATGCCAGTGGATCACAACTTACAGAAATTTCATTGCTTCCCAACGATGCAACAAACGTCTCTGTTCTCCTCCCTGATATATGGCTGAAGGGAAATGGTCAATACTGCAAATGTCTGTAAATTATCTGGCGGTTTTATGTAAAGTCTATTTGATATTTTTACTTAAACACTTTAAACATTTTCATGCATTCCCACCCATAGACACTTAACCAAGGAAGGCCATATCCATGCACTTTTTTTTTCTAATTGCATGCCACTTCAAATGAACTATGAAAGTGCCTAGATAAATGAAAACCACCTAACTTTTACTTTCTCCAGTACATTCCTGATTGAACATCTCTTGTTTTTACTTACATTTTGATTTGCAGGTTTGTAAGTCTTACAAGCCAGAAATTTATTTGTTCTTCAAAAAAGAAATTTAGTGATCTAAGATTTAAAAATTAATTGATCTCTGAACTCTCCTAAACCTTTTACCTGGATTAATGGCAAAGCCATTACGTTCTTTTCTTTCATTAGGGTTTTTTTTTTTCTTCAGCAAGGCTGAACAGGAAACAAGGGTGATCCTATCCTGTCCCTAGAGGCAGTTCATCAGCTAGCTCAGTTTACAGCTACTAAAAAAAAAAAAAAAAAAAAAAAAACAAAGAAAAGAAAAGAAAGAAAGAAAGAAAGAAAGAAAAAAAACCTAGAGGTAAGTAGCACTCAGAAATGTTGTGCTTTATCATGAGGAACTATTGCGGTAAGTGAGCACACAATAGGCATTTTTCTTGTTCGACTTGAATCTTTGTATTATTATTTTTCATTATCCATTCTGAAGTTAGGTTTCTCAGACTTCTGGGCTAGTTAACCATTTCCTCTAGTCTGAGATATATATATATATATATATATATATATATATATATATATATATATGTATATATATATACATATGTGTATATATATACACACACACACACATATATATATACACACACATATATATATATATATTTTTAAATATTGGTGAATAATTATGCTACTTAGGTTTTCCCAATAAAATAATTGGTAAAGGAAAACCAAGCTACTGTTATCTAAGACAATTTTCTCATTTAGTTCCAAACTAAAACAAACAGCAATGAAAGGTCATTAGTCTCACAGACTAAAATTGTTTTGATGAAGGCCAGCTTTCCATTCTGTTGACAAGCGTCTCAATTCTTTTCAACAGCTCTAGGTGTTCACACTGGAAGAATGTGGGGCAGCTTTGGGGCAGTCATCAGCCTCAGGGAACCAATGGCTCCTGGTGACAATTTGCAGAGCTGCCACTAGTCAAACTGTTCCTCCTCCCCTATTTTTTTTATCGAGATTGGGAAAATTAATAATGGAAATTTGTTCTTAGTGGCAGATTTGAATACAAACACTGCTTGAATTTCTGCTGCTGTATATTGTTGTTTAGCAATAATGAAGTCTCATCATAATTACGTGTTTCTTCAGAGTAAAGTCAAGGAATTTAAAGGGATCTGCAAAACTTCCAAGATTTCCTCCAAGAAGGCACTGTTTCTTTCTTAGTAGGTCAAATATCATGGCCCAAAATGGAATCAGTAAACAAGAGACATGGAGCAGATGGAACGGAAATGGAACCTCTGAGGATGACCTGACTGTCTCATAACTTCTATGCTGGCTTAAGAGCTGAGGGCTGACCAGCCTTATGATTAAAGGCCAAGACCTAAACTGCATGATTTTGTCCCATTGTCTTCCCAGCTAAAAATAAGAATCACCATTTCTTAACCAGAAATGGGAGTAACTCTCCATATTACATACTTGCATTCAGGCCTCCCCTTACCATTTACTCTGAGAGGTTTTACTTGTCAAGTCCTCTAACCTTTCCAAAACTGGATGTCAAACAGAGCTGTGAATCACTGAAAGGGAAGCCCTCAAGGGCTGGAAGGGTGAATTCAAACAGCCTCTGAAAAGTTCAGGGTAAAAAGCATTGTATAGGAATAGCTCAGGGATTTAGAAGTCGGGAAATATAGGTTCTATTTCGAGCTATGCCTTGAGCATGTTGCTCTCTTTACAAAAATTGCCAGATGTGAGAGGAAAGATTGCTTACTTTGTGGAGTGTTTAAGGAATTCTTAATCAGAGAATCTGATTAAAGTTAAGAATGAAACTCAGCTAATGGCTTTTTTAAAGCAAAACCAACAAACAAACACACTGGGCTGACAAGCTCTTTATTTTTCTGGGTTAATTTTTATTGTCTGCCCTCAAACTGAACTGCTTTCCACCTTTTTTGAGAAAGAATGAACATTTTGCTAACTTTGAGTTAGGAAAGGGAAAGGAAATCCCAGTGTCACAGGGTTGGAAGGGCCCATGGATAATACATAATTCAGTATCTTAGCCAATTCTTGATTTCTCTCTCTCTCTCTTTTTTTTTTTTTTTGAGACAGAATCTTGCTCTGTTGCCCAGGCTGGACTGCATTGGCGCGATCTCGGCTCACTGCAAGCTCCATCTTCTGGGTTCACGCCATTCTCCTGCCTTGGAGTAGCTGGGACTACAGGCACCTGCCACCACGCCTGGCTAATTTTTTTTGTATTTTTACTAAAGACGGGGTTTCGCCGTGTTAGCCAGGATGGTCTCGATCTCCTGACCTAGTGATCTGTCCGCTTTGGCCTCCCAAAGAGCTGGGATTACAGGCATGAGCCACCGTGCCCGGCCTTGATTTCTCTCTTTACCACAGGTGCCAAGGTACAAACGTGCATGGTTTAAGCAAATTTAGGAAGATGAAGCATACCACCTGCACAGGCAGTTCATTCCACATTCAGTTTACTGGTGCTTACAAAGTGCTGACCGAGGTCAGGCTGAAACCTGTGGCCCTGCACCTTCACTGATCCTTGCCCTATCCCCTGTCATATCACAGAGCAAGCCCAGTTGCTTTCTTCCACATGGAAATCCTTCAAACACTTAAGGACACTGTACTGTCCCTTTAGATGTTCTCTTCTTCAGTTCGAGCATGCACTCTTCCTTCAGGCCATTTTCCTCACGACGGGCTATAGGTTGTTCATGTCCTCCTTAAAGGTGGATCCCATAAATGGTACCATAGTTTAAAGCCAGTTTGATCAGCACAGACTACGACTTTTACCATTCTGGATATATTGTCGTAAAAACACAAAGTTTTTTTTTTTTTTTTTTTTTTTTTGGTCTTCCTTTGTCACCTAGGCTGGAGTACAGTGGTGCAATCACAGCTCACTGCAGCCTCCACATCCTCCCACCTCAGCCTCCCAAGCAGCTGGGAAAAGAGGTGCACACCACCACACCAGGCTAATTCTTTTACTTTTTGTAGAGATGGGGTCTCGCTCTGTTGCTCAGGCTGGTCTCAAACTCATGGACTCAAGTGATCCTTCCACCTCAGCCTCCCAAAGTGCTGAGATTACAGACATGAGCCCCAGTGCCTGGCTAAGGCTTTTCTTTTTCTTCCAAATCATTCCATGCTTACTGTCAGCTAAAATCTCTCCTCTGTTACATAGCTCCTGTCTTATATTTGTATAATTAAATTATGGTACTTAAACACTCTTTACATTTATCTTCTTTACAGTTTCATCTGGTTAGGTTGGCCCATTGTTTCAACCCATTCCAAACTATTTTCGGCCATAAGAAAGACGCTAAGGACTTCATAAACTGCTTGAAGCGTACTGCTCTGAGGGCTTCCGTATTACGCCAAACGTTTCATTCATGCAAGAGCCCTGTGAGGTAGAGATTCCCCTCCTAACTTAGTTGATGAAACTAAGCCTGGAAGATTAAGCAAATTGCTGATGGTCACACTCCAAGTGCTGGCTGAAACCAAGATTCAAATCTTAAGCATTCTAACTATACATGACTAGTTCTTGCCATTCTTCTGTGCTCTTTCTTAGGATTTCTTTGGATTCTGTTTCTGACATTTAACACGTTGGCTCTTTCTTCATCTTCAGGTAGAGTTATCAGTGTCCTCAATCAATTCATCATTTTGAAAATAATTGCGTATAACTGGCCTGAAGACAAAGCCAATTGAGCTCAGGTGCTAGCAATCTCTTTGTGCTGTCTTTCATTACAAAGCCATCCAACGAAACTCTCACTGGCCAGTAATTTTTCATTATGCTCACAAGGACATTGTTGGCTCATTTATTTAATATATAGAGTGTCTACTATATGCTAGGATCAGTGTCAGACACTGGGCATACAGCAAGGAACCAAACTGACATGGTCATCACGACAACCTTGTCAGAGGTCAAGATAGGTCTGGTTTAATTTACTCATAGTAAACCATGCTGACTCTTAGTGATCAATGCTTCCTCTTAGTATGGAAGGAACTGCCACAATGACACTTAGTTTGCCTGCCTAGGGGATGAAAATTAGTACTGAGCCCAGCAAAATGAGCAAGGTAAGGGCATGCAGAACAGTGCCATTAAGAGTGATGCTGCTCTGAGAATCATAGGCTCCAGCCTATGGTAGCAACTTGACCCATCCTGCAGGGAGTTTTCATTTTTAAGAACACAGGGCCAAGTTTTCATGTTTCCAGCTGCATGACAAGTATCTCCTTTTCCCTGTAACCATTCACTGACAACAAACGCACTTTTCCGAAGGCAAACACCTACAGAATTTGCTTAGAAGATAGTCTGTGAAAACTGATCAAAGTGAAATTTGAAAGATAACTGTGGAAAATAATTTAGCTTCCATTTATTGAGCAGCTATTATGTGCTTGGCACTGCATTTCACACTTTTATTTATTTTAGTCCTCATAGTAAGCCTACTGGGAGTGTAATTTTTAAACTCCTCATTTAAAATTTTTAACATGCTTTTTACACATGAGAAAATGGATGCTTGGAGTGATCATGGCACACAACTGGCAAGTCAAAGAGTCACCAGGCCTAGAACTGACTCCAAAAGCAATGTTCTTCCTACCTCCCACATGGAAACAAGTTGTACCCTTTTTATCTTTGAGTTATTAATATTCCAGCAAGGAAGAGTTTAAAATATCAGGAGAAAACAAAAGAGCAAATCTGGCGTGATAGCTAAGGCAATCACCTCATTATTATAGCCAATAATTTCTTTAGGCCTCAGTGTCTCAATTGGTTGAATCAATTAATAGGACCTATGTATCACAAGGTCATAATTAAGAATGACTACAAAGAGGTTTTTTGAGAAACAGAAGATTAGGGCTGCTGCTTTTAGGAGCCACTCTACTTCCTTCACTGTCTGCTTGATGGTATTTGAACTAAGCTAAATAGAAAATAAGGTCTTTACATCCTAATAAGGACTGGAGGTCTCTTTACCACCATTACCCAAGCTTGCCAGCCTCAACTGCAGTGAGAAGATTTACTCTTCATCTTTCTGCAACCACAACCCCTACACTGAAAATGGCCAAGCTTTTCATGTTTCCCAAGGAGCAAACCCCAGTCTTGATACTACTTGAAGATGATCTTACTACTTAAATGAAATAACCAAAGTCAAAATGAGCTTCCCCTTTTTTTCTCCTCTTCGTATCGCTAATTGTATTTACTCCCACCCACTGTCAGAGAAAGAGCCATTCTTCCACGTTGCCAAGGCTATTCTTCCTATGTGTGCCTTTGATTTTCCCCCACTTATTTTTCCCATCAATTTGCCCATATTCTCCCATCCCTTGAATTTTCAATCTCTTCACTTCTACCAGATCCTTTCTTCTTGTTTACAAACGTGCATGAGCATACCGTATTCTTTAAAAGAAGAGAAGCAAAAAACAAGCAACTTTTCTCAGCTCCGCTCCCTGCCCCCTCCCAAGCTAGGATCCTCTCTATTTTCACAGGTCTTGAAAGAAAAGTCCACTTCCGGACCCCCCACTCTGTCCTTCCCTTCTTGCAATCTGGCTTCTGCCCTTGTCACTCCACTGAGACTCTACAGACCGAAAGGTCACCAATGACTTCCTCACGACCAAATTCATTGGTATTTTCTCCCTTTGGTCCCCTCACCCTTCTCTGTCGACCTTGATCTGTTGATTATGCATTTCTTTTGCATTAACATTTATTTAGCAACTACCTGATGCCAATCACAGGGCTATACTGGGGGCTCAGGCTTCAAGTAATCTTTCATGACTAAGAGAAGAAGTATTTTCTCACTTATCTTCTTAGTTCTCTAGTATCTTCTTGGGCCTCTCTAGCTGCTGCCATTCCTAAGTATACTTTCCCAAGGATCTATCCTTGGCCCTCTTCTCTAGAGTCCTCAGTAACAATCTCACCACTTCAGCTACTACCTTGGACCCTTGAGAATCAGAGGCTGATTCTAAATCTCTTCCTACTCCAGCCCTTTAGTTCTGCATTTCAAATGCCTGGTACATGCTCATATACTGGACTCTCATTTTCTCATAAACCTACTCCTGTTTTATTTATTTGAATAGTTACTGGCATTCTAATATAGTCAGGCCCAAAACCCTAGCAGTATGTTGGATTGCTTCCCCCTCTTTCCCTGTTCACCACACTTAGATTGCCAGAATATGCAGATTCTTCCTCCAGACTATTTCTCATACTTATCTCCTCACTTCCATTTCCATTGCCCTAAGGTAGAAACTCATTAGCTTACACTTAGATCAGGCTTTTGCAACCTTTAGTCATTCCCCTAAGGCCTTCAAGATTTGGGAAATATGGGCAGATCACATGCACTATATTATTTATTTAATATTTTAAATTTACTTGACCTACATTGTTTTCTTTAGATTCATCCATGGCAATAGTTTATAGAATAAGAGGTTCGATATACAAATTATATTTTTAAATATGTACTTAAACCTATGTTATTATTAAAATCTGAATAGCACTTAGATTTGCCATACGTGCCACAAACCGTACATCATCCGTACTTTGTGAAACACTTATTTTTATTACACAAAAGCCTTGTAATGAGTATTCTATCTCATTTTTTTTGGCATTTCAACCCATCTGATTAAACTTTTCCAAACTAATTGTTCTGAATTATAACAATATTCTGTCTGTTTCTTGCTCAAAAACTCATTCTCCACCCAATTATATCTGAAATCCTTAACCAATGTGGTCTCTAGTCTGAATAGACCTGCCCTCCCAACATCATTTCCTGTTGCTCAGGCAGCCTTATCTCAGCCTTGATGGAAGCAATGCCTGCTAATCACTGCTTCCCATACATTCCCTGCACCGTCCTGCTGGCTCCAGCCCCCACCCCCACCCCATCACCTGCCTTCAAAGTTCTCCCTCCTCCTCCCCGCTTCTGCAGCCTCCTTAAAACATCTACTAATTTCTTCAGCTGGAAGTAATCTTTCCTTCCTCCAACTCCCATAGCCCTGTACCCATAGTTTTCTTTTGACACTTTTCACTTTTTACTTTTAATTTATGTTACATATTCACATTTTATCTCTCCTACATGTGTTTAAATTTCTTGAGGGCAGGCTGGGTTCTGACTCATCTTTGCATCCTCCTTTCACTTAGTGAAGTACTTGCCCGCAGAAGGAAAATAAAGACCACTAAATATTGGTGAATAAATGAATATACGGTCAGGCAACATTTTGGTTTAAGTGATTTTGATTAGTTTCCTCATCTAGTAGCATTTTTTTCTTAATAATTCATCTGTATTTTAGTGGTAGGGATTAATGAAGGGGGTGAAGGAGCTTCGTATATTTCACATCTTGGCCCACTTTTTCTTACATTTACTTTCATTTAAACGAGACAATGAAATAGATGTAATGAAGTATTTCCATTATATAGTTGCACAGGAAAGGAGGCTGTTTGGAGTGAAAACTAAAGTTTTTATTCTTTTTATTTTATTTGCTTTCAATTGGAAGATTTCTAAGAAGACAGTGCTACAACAAAATTTGTTTTATTTTTAAATTTATTAAGTGCACTGTTTTTATCAGAGCCATCCTCCCAATACCTAAGTAATATGGAAAGTCTATAAAACCATGTCTCCTGGAGGGCTCACTTACCTCCACAAAGATTTTTCCTTGAATGACTGACCACAGCTGCAGGACAGCCTTGAGCATTTAGTTTGGCACCCACAGAGGGAGCCCAGAGCAAACCAACCTGCTGCACAGTGAGACAGAAACACCCTCTGATTATTCTGCCCTTTTAGCAGAGACCCTCCCTCTAGCCTAAATGGACCTGCACATTCTGATTTCACTGGGCCATAGACTCTGCCATAGACTCTGTGTGATACTCCAGAAAATACTTCTCAGAAAGCTGAAAGCTTTGCATTCATCAGACACTCACTTTTGCTCAAATATGATATGAATAAGTCTTCCAGGGTAAACAACAACAACAACAACAACAAAAACACCACTGGCTAAATTTTCTGTTTTAAAATTGTCAATATTTTAGACTTCATACATTTTGATTTTTTTTAAATTTAGAAGAGAGGGAAGGCAAAGTAAAAAAAAAATCAATAAAAGGCAAGAGTTCTGTCACTTAGATACGAACATGTTGGACTCCATATGACACTTGCTGTAGCCATTAGTGAGAAATTAGTAGTTCTTACTAATATCAACAGGCCATTTTATGTACTAAGAAGTGGTCCTGACTTTTGAAATCTTCTTCTTTCTCCAAATTTCTTCCTAAAATATTGTTCCCCATGATACAGTGTGCTATAGACTGAATGTTTCTGTCTTTCCCAAATTCATATTTGGGGGTTGAAATTCTAACCCCCAATGTGAGGATATTAGGAAGTGGGGCCTTCCAGTAGGTGATTAGGTCATGAGGATGGAGCTCTCACAAATGGGATTAGTGCCTTTATAAAAGAGACCCTGGAGAGCTCCCTCACCCCTTCTGCCATATGAGGACATATTGAGACGGCTGTCTCTACACCGGGAAGTAAGCCGTCACCAGACACTGAATTTGCCAGCACCATCATCTTGGACTTCCCAGCCTCCAGGACTGTGAGAAATAAATGTCTGTTGTTTATAAACTGAATAGTTTATGGTATTTTGTTACAGCAGCCAAAAATGACTGAGATGAAATGTAAATGAGCAATTAAAATTTCCTTAACTGACATGAGAAATCTCAGGTTGGCTTTTGGGCCTCCACAACTACTGGATGACTTTAATTGTTGGTCATGCCTAGCAGTTTCTACTTACCATTCCAAAGCTAAAAACAGGGAAAAAAATACTTTTAAACAGGTTATGAAGTGCTCTTCCTGTACTCAAGAGAAATAATTATCTATACCAAAATCTTAGGATAACTAAGGGCTTTTCTTGCTCAGAGAGCACGTGAACTTGATAATTCTCTGCTAATAAGTGCTGCCATCTTGAATACAGTGCTAGAATCAGAATTCTAGCAATAAATTTCAACTGTGATGTTCAAGCACAAAACAGCCTGAGCAGGTGAGGCCCTTCATTGCTGTAGGCATTATCAGCCAATTCTCCAGGAAAAGGAAAATAATCTTCTATGATGTCAGGAAACGTCATAGACTCACAGAATAATAGAACTGGAAATGGCCTCAATAGATGATTCTGTTACACGTGTCAGCATGCCCCATGTGCCCCATGTGCTTCAGATTGAGCTGCTTGCTCTTTGTACACGTCCACATCTCTGCCTCAAGGCCTGTCATTAGCACTCTTGATACCGCAGACTGATAGTACCCATGGAGATTCCAGAACAAGACCCAGACTTGGTCAGACAAAGCCCAGCAGGATCCCTTGCATAACACTAAGATCATGCCTTGGTAGGCTTTGAGCCACATCAGCCAACAAAACACTACATGGCAGATAATGTTCCATCAAGATTATAATCTAGTGTTACAATCAAGATTATGAGGCATGTTCCCAACACAAAGAAAAGATAAATGTTTGAGGTGATGGATATCCCAATTATCCTGATTTGATCCTAACACATTGTATGCATGTACCAAAATACCACATGTACTTCCCCCAAATATGTACAATTATGATATACCAATTTTAAAAACACAAGAAAAAAGATTATGGGGCAGAGAAAGTCATGTTGGAGCCTCTGGTTGATTTTACCTGATGTTCTAAAAAATTCCAATTCATAAAAACCATGTTGAAACATCTACTATCAAAAGCTTATTTAACTTGCCTTTTCAACATCATGGCTACATGAGCACACTGTGAAAGAAGTCATGTTCATTAACGCATGCCCTCACCATGATGTTATCCAGCCACTCCTGGTGAAAGTGAGTTTTTCTGTAAGTTCGTAATGAAATATAAAGCTGATTAGAAAAGTCAAAGGACATTTTTAGGAGAAAGAGTAAGATGATAAAAAACGAATATGAGAAAAGTGAACAGTGGGACTTCAGCAGGGAGTCAGTTGCTCAGTTGACTTAACTGAAAGCACGAATGGAACAATCTAGGTCTCCAGTGAATCCTCTGAGGAGCTCAAAGCTTTCAGGTGTGGTGGCAGCAACACCTCCCTCCAGGGACCAGCATGTCACAGTACCATTCCTGCTGACGCACCACCATCCAGACATTATTTACTAACTAGTTTACTGCATTCTGTAGGCCAGTCCTACCCATCATGATGGAACTTTTTTTTTTGAGATAAGGTCTCCCTCTGTCAACCAGGCTGAGTGCAGTAGCGTGATCTCTGCTCACTGCAGCCTCCGGGCTCAAGAGATCCTCCGCCTCTCAGCCTCCCAAGTTGCTTGGACTACAGATGTGCACCACCATGTCCACCTAATTTTTGTATTTTTTTTGTAGAGAGGAGGCGTTGTCATGTTGCCCAGGCTGGTCTCAAACTTCTGAGCTCAAGTCATCCGCCCTCCTTGGCTTCCCAAAGTCCTGGGATTACAGGTGTACGCCACTGGGCCCATGATGTAACTTTTGACAATGAGTTCCCAACACTAATTTGATTCCTATAGAAGAGGAATTTAACGGCATGACAAGTTATTTCTACGTATGTAAGTGAATGAATCTATTACACATCTCTCAATGAAATGGGGGGTTCTGTAAAGCACTTAAAGATCCTTTGGGAGGTGGAGTACTGAATCATTTTTATTGTTATACAATTACTTATAATCTTCTTCCCTTGTTCTAAGTATTTGTTTACATAAACTCTGAAACAAATAAATCTTGCCTGTGCATAATACACATTTTTTTTGCACTATTTGGACCACTGATTTTTCCATTTATTTAATTTTTTGAATGCTGACTTTTGATAGTGATTCAGCATTGCTACTGTTTTTCATACCATAAAAAATCATTAAACTGTTGACAGAAGTAAAGATAATTAGCTATAAATAATTCCCAAATTAAGCCATGGCCTGGCAGTATCTCTTTCCCTCTGAAGGATACAGAATGTTTGGGTATCGTAACCATATAAATTAATTTCACTTTATGCAAATGGTTACAATTTCTATTATCTGGAGAAATTAAGATGTCAGCTTTTCTAACACTTTCAGGGGTGTGACCTTATATCTTCTCCATCACAGCTTGATCCATGGTCTATAAACTATATTGTTCACCTTCAATCTATGCAAGTCTACTTTAAATCACTCCTTCCTTCATTACCTATCTTGTCCCTGTTCTCTACTCACAAATATTTGATAGCTATATGCGTCTCTTAATCACTAGGGCTAGTGCCAATGAAATTTTTTCCTCAAAAATCTTCCCTCTTACAACTGACGTAGCTCACTAGAGATGCAGAACTGTTCGTTGTTCACCTGACAAAAACTTAACTTGCTTCTTCATGGATAAGCCAATAACCATGTTAAATGCCTGAATAAAAGTAAAAACAAACTCCTGTTGGCTAAGTTTTTAAAGCCATTCTGTTGTAGCTTCATGAAAACATGTACTGCTTCATGTACTCTTTCCAGGCCAGACCCAGTTTTGAATGTATCTTTTTTAGAAGGAAGGGGTTGGAAATTGTTAAATATATATGAAAAGACTAAATCTGTGTGTCTTACACTGATAGCCGAGGTTGTAGGATCGTCTGCCACCTTTTACTAGCTGAGTAAGTCTAGACGAATATATTTAATCTCTCTGGGCATTATGTACTTGCTTAACATGTGAAATGAGAATAATAACAGTGTATAAGGCTGACAGTAAGGAATTAAACCTCTTTTGAGCATCCTTCCAACTTTAAGGATGGGTCCAATTTGTCTGAGGGCAATCCGATTTCCTTGCCAGTGTGACCAACTTCTGGCCCACATGAAAAGACTTTTGCTAGAGGCTTCTGGGAAGCCTAGCTCTCAAAAGAGATCCAGCCAGGTATATTAGAGCACAGCTGTAATCTCAGCTATCCAGGAGGCGGAGGTGGGAGGATCAATGGAAGCCAGGGGTTCAAGACCAGTCTGCGCAACATAGCAAGGTCCCATCTCAATAAATAAATAAATAAATAAGAAAGAAAGAAAAAGAGAATTCACAAGAAGCCACTTGGACCTGAATAAAGTGGCCTGTAGCCCTGGCAGTCATGTTACAACTATGCAGAAACCCTCCCTGAGGGTGGTGCCGGCATGTGAACAAAGAGCAGCAGAGACACCCTGGGTCTCTGGGGACATGACTGAACCACTGACTCTTGGAGTCCACCATACCACACACCTTGGAACTTCCTCACTATCCTTTAAGCCAGTTTGTGAAATATTTTTCTGTTATTTTAAGGCAAAAACATTCTAACTAACACAGCTTCCCATCACCTTTTTGTGAATACACACTTGGGGACCACTGATTTAGAAAATTCTCTGTTCCTCATTCTGATTCTTTAAAACTTCAATTTTAAAAACGCCATCTAAGATTAATGTCCATAAGCCTTTGCTATGTTAATAAAGAGGCAGTTGGTATTTTTGATAAATATCCTTGATGTTTCATCAGTATGCTAACACCTAGAATAATGTTGTCTGCAAGAGGTCTGCAGACCTCTAGAAAACAACTTTTCAATATATAGCAAAACTTAATGATTTTAAAACCTAACATTCTCCTCTTCATGTAAGAAATACAAGGGTAGGCTGAAACGTCTGCTATCAATAAGGATACCTTTTTAAAAATGTTAAATCGAACGCAGAGAATTAAACAGTAGAAAAGTATTCATTTTAATGCTACCATTATCCTGAATATAGCCGGTCAATGAAAGAATGTTTAAAGAATATTTCAATTTTTTTCCACTAGATTATTTTTAGTTTAATCACCAACTGCCTACAGATTATCTAGCTGGCTTGCTAACTATAGTTATATTCGCTCTAGGACAATGAACTTGGCGTTACATTTTTGACTGATTTATAAATTAGTAATAAAATCAACCCAATTTAATAAACCCAATGTTTTTAAAATGTATTTCTACCTATTTCCCATAGTTGGAAGTTTTGCATTTGTTCTCAAGTTTCACCAATGACCTTTGAACCATTTTCATGGATTTGTAAATGAGTGTAGGTGAGTAAAAGCCAGCAAAGATAAAACACAAAATGAAGTCTGCCATTTGAGATCTTTCACAAGAGTCACTTTCCTTTCAGAAAATTTATTCATTTAAGTCTTCTTATTTCTATAATAAGTCACCTCCTCAATTTTCCTATAATATTTTAAGTACACGAAAAGTTGAGTGGGATCTTTAGATAAAGACTTTCACTCACTTTAATATACTGTCAAAGTGATTTTTAAATATTTCAGAAAGTTTTTAACTGCTAAAAGGTAAAAGTTTGCCATTTGCTAGAAAATTATCAAAACTATTTTAGCTTATTTGGAGCAGGCATTAAAGTTATTGATTTGGGGGGAAAAAGAAAGAGCTAAGTATTTTTAAGTGAAGCATCACATAAGTGCCAGAACGCATTATAGGAACAAACATAAGAAACGACATTTTGTGCTGCACATATTTAGGTATAAAGGAGAATTTTCAGGCTGAGAATAAAGCAGAATGGAACCCTAAACCAGTAAACATATCTCCCCCCTCTTAAATTATCACTTTTTTCCATTGATTGAATTCCTTAAGATAACCCATAAAAGTATGGTCTCTGTGACCATAAGAATTAAAATAAGGGTCAGGCGTGGTGGCTTACGCCTGTAATCCCAGCACTTTGGGAGGCCGAGGCGGGCAGATCACAAGGTCAGGAGATAGAGACCATCCTGGCTAACACGGTGAAACCCTGTCTCTACTAAAAATACAAAAAATTAACCAGGCGTGGTGGCGGGCGCCTATAGTCCCAGCTACTCGGGAGGCTGAGGCAAGAGAATGGCATGAACCTGGGAGGCGGAGCTTGCAGTGAGCCGAGATCGCGCCACTGCACTCCAGCCTGGGCGACAGAGCGAGACTCCGTCTCAAAAAAAAATAAAAAATAAAAAAAAATAAGATGTCAACTTGAGCATAAACCCAATATAAATTTGGTCTCATCTTCACATTAATACATTTGGGGTTCAGGTTTGTTTTGTTTTGGGTTGGAAATATTTATTTCATTGACAAACAATTCCAGAGTGCAAACATTTGTCCTGTTAAGCTGAAGCCAATGTTTATTTTAGCACTGCTAGGATACCTAAGTGTTGTGTAAATGGGAAAATACTGGCTGGAGAAACATTTACACAAAAGATTGTGTCTATTAAGACAATGAAAGTGTTTTAAAATATATCCTTTGGAGTGAGTTTATGGCAATGAAGAATTACGCTTCAAATATTATGAAGTCATTCAATTTGGAAAAAGTATTCTAGAAACTTGCTTCCTAGTCTCTCTGATACTTCACAAAATTATCCTTGGAAAATTTAAAGATTTCTTCACTTCTTCAGTCTGCTATTGACAAGGATCTGGAGATTGAAAAGGAGGGTCTGAAAAAAATTGATTTGGGTACAAAAAATATAAATGAATGTTGACAATTCTAACATGTGTCTACATAGATACACAGAGTAAATATGGATATGAATTAAAAAACTAAATCAGTTAAACTAGCACCTAATGTATTTAGTGGTTGTTCAATAAAAGCAGAATAAGTGAATAAATGAATAAGAACATTGAATTAATGTCCTTACAGTTAATGGAGGTAAGGGAGACACACCCCATTTGATGTGTTCTAACCCATGCTTTTCACAGCCTGAAAAATAATCCTGGAAAGCACTGTGGGTTTTTTTTGTTTTGTTTTGTTTTGTTTTGAGACAGAATCTTGTTCTGTTGCCCAGGCTGGAGTGCAGTGGCGCGATCTCGGCTCACTGCAAGCTCTGCATCCTGGGTTCACGCCATTCTCCTGCCTCAGCCTCCCGAGTAGCTGGGACTACAGGCACCCACCACCACACCTGGCTAATTTTTTGTATTTTTAGTAGAGACGGGGTTTCACCATGTTAGCCAGGATGGTCTGGATCTCCTGACCTCATGATCCGCCCATCTTGGCCTCCCAAAGTGCTGAGATTACAGGCATGAGCCACCACGCCCGGCCTATTTCTTTGTTTTCAGACAGGGTCTCCCTCTGTACCCCAGGCTGGAGTGCAGTGACATGATCTTGGCTCACTGCAACCTGTGCCTCCTGGGCTCAAGAGATCCTCACCCCTAAGCCTCTGGAGTAACTGGGACTACAGACGCATGCCACCATGCCTTCCTAATTTTTTTTGGTAGACAGAGGGTTTCACCATATTGCTCAGGCTGGCCCTCGAACTCCTGGGCTCAAGCAATCCACCCCCATCGGCCTCCGCCAGTGCTGGGATTGCAGGTTTGAGCCACGGCACCCGGCCAAAAGCACTGTTTTAGATGAATCTCCAAAGCTCCTTAGCGTTATTCAGATCAGCTGTTTAAAATGAATTTTAAAACTTAATTGAATGGGGGTTGAGGGTGGATTTATTGCTGATCTAGCTTTATCTCTTGCTCCTTCCAAACTCACATTCACATCTCTACTTCCCTCACCCAAGAAAAATGTCTAATTCACAATATTAATTGCACCCAAAATGATTTAGGGAGCATAAGACAAATCAGGTCCAAGTTCACAAACACCGTCATTCTTATCATATCTCCTTTTGCCCATCTCTCTGTATTTAGCTTCAGGTTTAGCCACTGTTCTCCAAATGAAACAAAACAATAGTCTATTGCTCCTTACGAAGACATGACAGGGAAAGATTTATTGAACTGGAATGTACCTGAAATGTCATGTAGTCTATAGACCGTCCTCCAGATGAACACATGTAAATAGCTCTGTATGTAAGTATATTTTGGGTTAGGGATATTATATCACACAGAGTAAAAGCTCACTTACTAAATTTAGATACGTAACTTTTCAAAGTAGTTATCTCTTGTCTCCACACAAAATTCAGTCATGCAAATCTTATTCATTTCCCAATTTGTCACCTTCAATGATGACCAATTTCAGATGCAGTTGAATTATATAAGAGTTGCTTGGATATAAGTCCAAGATAGTTGAAATTTTCCAGGATAGTTAATTATACGCAGACATTTCAAAATAGAAAAATGAAGTTCTTTATTAAGATACAAATGTATATAGATGCAGAGTCCAAAAGAATTAGCTTTCTTGATTAATGAAAGTGTGTATTACTGATAATATGATAGAAACTGAAAAAGAGACATGTGCGTTGTCAGTAGCTGCATTTGACTTAAATTCTGTGAGCAATATGAAAAAAGATTATGTTTACAGACCAGCATCTATCAGTGGTTTTTTTTTTTTTTTTTTTTTTTTTTTTTTGAGATGGAGTCTCATTCTGTCACCCAGGCTGGAGTGCAGTGGCCTGATCTCGGCTCACTGCAACCTCTGCCTCCCAGGTTCAAGCAATTCTTTTGTCTCAGCCTCCTGAGTAGCTGGGATTACAGGCGTGTACCACCACACCTGGCTAATTTTTGTATTTTTAGTAGAGATGGGGTTTCATCATGTTGGTCAGGCTAGTCTGGAACTCCTGACCTCGTGATCTGCCCACCTCAGTCTCCTAAAGTGCTGGGATTACAGGTGTGAGGCACTGCGCCCGGTGGTGGTTTTACAGTCCATAGATCCCTATGTGAATAAAGATAGTTGTGGCTTGATTCATTGCCATATGTTTATTAATACCAGGTTTTACCTTAGGCTATTGGTTACAAACCTGTGTAGCAGTTTTTATTCAAGACAGATTAACACTCCTGACAGAGGGATCTACTCATTGATGCAGTTTTGTGGCATCAACACAATTAACTTTCCTTCATTGCACATCAGTGGCATGTTAAGTTTTTCCTAACAACCTCTACGGATGCATATAATCTCATCACAATATATGAAGCATGTCCAATAAAAGGAACATTGATGGGTACTTTGGTTCAATATAGCAGCAAGATTTTATAGAGGCTGGACCAAAGCAGGTGAAATTTGATCATTAAAACATCTCCTTGTTCCTCAGTCCTTTCCCAGTGGTATGGCCATGTTAGAAACCATAGATTGCTAAGAAAGAAGTGAATGAAGAGATGCACTATTTGTTTGCAAAGAAAGCATGCTTCCGTTTTTATCACTAACTGAACCTCAGAATCTAATCATGCATCCTATTCATAGGCCTGTTACAAAGTAGTCCACAGGTGACGTGTGCCCACAAAAAGGTCCCATGAATTTCACTGAGAAAATGTTACAATTCTTCCCCTATTTTGCATAGGTTCTACCTTACCACACTTTGCTTGTTTGTGTGTATACATGCATGTGTGTGCATCTATATACGGCCTATTTTACATATATTTGTAATATCAATATGCTACCTAGGGTACTACTATATGGCCATTTTTGCCAGCATGCTAGTTAAGATTGCCCTAATGTGTACAAATTCAATTACATTAAATTCTTTATTAGAATATCTTTAAATAATTTACTATAAATCTAATTTGGATTTGCAAGTCATTGACTATATTTTTCAGGTGTACATATGAAAGGTTAGAATAATATTTTTTCAATGTGGCTTTTTTTGGCACTTTAGGTATATATTACAGTATATAAATTTGTCTACCAATGTTTACCTCCTGCAAATGCATATTTCAATCTCAGTGACCCTAAAAGCTTGACAGTATTTGGGTTTTAAAAGGCATGAAATTATTTAAACAGAAAAAAAGAAGGATGAGTTCTGGAGGAGGGGACCACACAAGAACGCAAGTCAAAATGTTGATTCTTCTTCCCTAGGACTCTAGAGGTAGTGATGAGAGAAAGGAAACTGGCTTGGAAGATTTCATGGAGTCCAGGAGAATCCTTCCACTGAGAGTGCCAGATGGCACCTTACAGCAAAGCTCAGCCTGGATGTGAGAATAAGGCCTGAAGAAACGAGAGAGAAAGGATCTTACTTCTGAGGAACACAGAAGAGCAGAAGAGAGGAGAGGAAAAAAGATGATTTTAAGGCCAGGCACCGTGGCTCACACCTGTAATCCCAGCACTTTAGGAGGCCGAGGTGGATGGATCACCTGAAGTCAGAAGTTCAAGACTAGCCTGACCAACATGGTGAAACCCCGTCTCTACTAAACATACAAAAAATTAGCTGGGCATGGTGGTGGGCGCCTGTAATCCCAGCTACTCCAGAGACTGAGGCAGGAGAATCACTTGAACCCAGGAGGCAGAGATTGCAGTCAGCCGAGGTCACGCCTTTGTACTCCAGCCTGGGCAACAAGAGCAAAACTCCAACTCAAAAAAAAAAATTATATATATATATAATATTGCTAATATATTACATATATATATAATACATATATATATTCTAGGAGGAACTCAAACAGCTCAATGAATTCAGAGCTTTGGCAATGAAATAAAATTAACAACTACCACTCCTTATAACAACTTCTGGGTTAAGCAAAATAGAAATGACTATACCCATTTTACAACTGAAGAAACTGAAGCTCAGAGAGGTGAAACAACTTGTCCATTTAACCTGGTTTCTTAACTGGACTAACCTGGGACTGATATTCCTGGCTTACTCCTCTTTCCAGTATAAGCAGGCCACCTTACAGTATACTTGTGACAGTAGAGACAACATTTCTGTAACTTCACACTTGAGCATACAAAATCTCCACTTGGTGAAGAATCTCAGGGAGGAAGATATGGGCAAGAACCCAGGGAAACAAAGTATCTAGAGACTTAATGGCAAGATGAAATTTTGGAGGCTTTGAGTGGTGGTGGTAGAATGTTAACAATAGCAGAACACCAGGAAGCCTGTTTAAGGGTGCTTTGGGTCCATTTTGTCACATTGCTTCACAAACTACTGTGATCTATTGCAAAGAACTTCTTAAACCCACTGCTTAGATATATGTGAAGCGTAGACCCAGTTACAAGACACAAAACCACAAGACCTTTATCTGCACTTCAAAGTCAGCACAAAAACAAGGGTCGATTATCTCCCAAATTGCCAAACTAATTCTCAAAGCCCAAATGCTTCCAATCCTAAGTGTGGATGCAGTACTATATCTGAGAAAAGAGAATGACTGTGTGGGGAAATGACATCATAACACCAAGATGATTGAGCCACAAATGGAAAAATGAGCTCTTCCCAAAAGAGAGAAAACAACTGATAAAATAGTGCCAAGGTTTGCCTAAAGAGACAAGAGAGAACATCTAAGAATGGGGGATAAAAATCTACATATGTTGTTTTGGTGTCTGACACAATCATCCTAAACCAAATGCATTTTGATTTGAACTTAATTCTGGAATTTTTTATTGTTTAGACCCAAGAGATTTCAATGGCTGATGACGGCACTCAGGCAGGTTTCCTGGACCATCCAATCAGAAGTCCTCTCAAGTTTGGTAACACAAAGTCCAGCTTCAGAGCACAGGTTACTTCAATTATCGTCTCCAACTGTCACTAGGTAACACTCAAAAGTTCTCTAAATGCCAAACAGGAAAGGGCCTTAGGGGGCATTCCTCAACGGATCACTCCCTTCAGGCACTTAGGTCATAGGTCTAAGGGTTTTTTTTTTTTTTTGCTCCTTATCAGCACCATAGATTTTTAACTATGGACCTGAACAGATTGGGATAAAAGGAAACACAACTGTACCACCAAACTCTCATTCTTTTTAATCATAAAAGTACTTAATTCAGAAACTTTAGGGGAAACAAATTCTTTTCTTTCCCAGAATCAGAATTGCACTGACATTGTGGCCCAACATGTGACTTGAGCTCAAGTATACACTAAAGTGAAAAGCTATTGTCAATATTTAGCGGAACGCTATGCCATGTCGGAGGCAGTATCAGCTTCCTAATACCAAAAGAAAATTCACGTATCACAGGGCTACTGAGAAGAAGTAACGTGCAGCCCCAGAGGGCACAGATTTCTGCTTTATGTAAATCAGAGCCTGTCACGGCATGCATGATTCACTGCTCAGGGTGTACTCTCCTGTGACGAATGAGTCCCGCTTAATTTGGCAGTGATTATGCGGGTTGCTGGCCCTCTAAACCCCTTTGAACTTGTAATTGCTGCTGGTTTAAATAATGAACATTAAGGGGAGTTGAATTCATAAAACTGTAGATAATTACATTTTTTTTCTTTTCCCCCTTTGTTTTGGTGCAGGAGTATATCCACACACACACACATGCACACACACACACAAACACACTTCTAAGGCCACCGATCACTGTATCATGCCAGGATGTTATCGAAATAAACTGCAGTCTTGTTCCAGGGTTGGTCAGGGAGGGCAGATTTGAGGTGGGGGAAGTGTGGGGTGGGTGGCAGGGGGAGCATCTGGGAGCTGTGCAAGAGGAAGATCAGAAAGGCCTGGATGCTCTAGGAAAGGAGGAGCAATGGCACTCATGAATATTCATAGCTAGTCACATCTGTAGCAGGCTTGCTTTCTACCTTTTTTTTCCCCCTGTGCAGTGCAACATAGAGCACCAGTGCAAACAAAAGGAGGGAATTTTGCAGCTTCACGAGGCTCTAGATATCCTCGTGGTGGTGAACTTTCTCCATGCTTTTACATTCTACATATGGATTTTTAAAGTATATAGTAGGAGATGTGTATATCCTTTCTTTCTATAACGAAAGAAAACCATCCTGTCCCCACATTTATGAAGTGGAAGAAATCACACACTCCCACAGCACATGGATGACTCAAAGCCAGTCCTCCTTTCCCCCTTCTTTCCCCAACCATTGGTAAAAATCACCCAGTATTCTTTGATCCAGGAAAAAACAAATTTTGATTTTATTTGGAGAAAAATGAAACGTTACTGATGGGAGGGGGCAGAATCCAAAGTTAGCCAAGTCAGCTAGCTCTTCCCCTCCCTGAAACAACAAAGAATGAATGATAAATTTAGCAGCCTCATGTTCAGTTTTCAAACAACACTGCTGAGATTTATAGCTTCACTGCTCCCATGGCAAACTAAGCTGCACACAGAAAGCTATCTGTTTTTGATTTCACTCTGTTTTCTCCAGTTTTTGTTCTTTTTTCTATTTGCAGTGTTTTTTTTTTTTAACTCTACATTTTCTTTTTCCTGGTGTGAGTCGAATATCAAAGGCTAGTGCTGTTGGTAAGCCTCCAGTTTGCGAGAGCCACTCAATGAGATGTTATTAAACCTGCGTCACAACATGGCAGACGGTGATTAATAGCAACTGTATCAACGGTAGCAACTTAAAAAAAAGTCCCTCCAGCAGCTCGAAAAGGGATCAGTGAAGTAAGAATAAGAAACGTCTGCCAGAACCCAGGGCCCAAGATGTTCTTAGAGAGTAGAGTACCCTGGGATTGTGTTTGACAGAAAGAAAAAAGAAATTCCTACTATTATGCATATAATAGGAACTTTTGCCTTTAACTAAGTCACTTATACTTAAAACAGCTACACATTATAAAACAGCTACACATTAATTTAAAATGAAGTCTGTGTACAGCTTAGGAATCATTTTATTGATGCAATGGTGTCCCCCAAAATAACTAGCAGATGGATTTCCACCCCCTCAATGAAACACTGAAACAAATTGCAGAATTGTCAAAATTTTATCGTGAAGGCACACACTCTATAAAAAGGTTGATTTAAGTGAATTGTAAATTTGCTTCATTGCACAATATTTTTCTAAAATTATAACCGGAAAGTATTCTCTGTTTAATTTTTTAGCATATCCTTTCACAAAACACATCTGCTGTGAAGTATTTCTAATTTGTGCTAACTGCTTTTTAACAAACACACACTTGTCACTATGCCATCTAGTTTTATTAGGGCAAAAAAGTACATTCCCCTCCAATCTCTTTGTAATAAGGATTTTGACCTGTTTCTGATGACGCAAACCGATAGAAAATAATAAAATTGTTTGAACATCAAACACGAGTGACACATAGGAGGTTAAAAAAATGAGGAAGAATGAAAATGCAGTCAAACCAGAAAGTCAAAGAGAACATGGTAAAGGAGACGAAATGGCTATAATTGTGGAGAAAGAATAATCGTCTACACAGAGTGTGGGCGGGGTTGGTGGCTCATCCCTGTAATCCCTGCACTTTGGGAGGCTGAAGTCAGAGGATCCGCTTGAGCCCAGGGATTCGAGACCAGCCTGGCCAACACAGCAAGACCCTGTCTCTACTAAGAGTAAAACATTTAGAAGTGAACTGGGTATGGTGGGTCATGCCTGTAGTCCCAGCTACTTGGAAGGCTGAGGTGCAAAGATCGCTTGAGCCCAGAAGTGCAGCGAGCTATGATGGTGCCACTGCACTCCAGCCTAGGCAACAGAGCAAGAACCGGCCTCACACACAAAAAAGTGCCTGATTATATCTCATTATGAGAAAGGTAATAAGCAGACTAAAAAAAGAAAAATACCGCTAACTAAGAGATAGACCAACCACAGCAGGGAAGGAGGACAGGATGCACTCTCACTCTGAGTGAAAATGGAGATCACCTAGCAACAGTACAAGTCCTCTTTTTATTCCTTCATTTATTTCTATCTCACACCCCTCTTTTGTGTTCCGTCAAGCAAAATGGGATTCTATGGTGTTTAGGACAGAGGTGAAACAATGACACCAAAAATTTTGAATTTATTTTACCTTCCAAATTATTAGGGAAATTTAAAAGTATTTGTCCCCTTAAAGGGCCAACATAGTGATTAAGAGCCAACCTCCCCCAGTATTTAATGCAGGCAATGTGGTAAGTGCCTGGCCCATCATTATCTCCTTTGTCCATCCTAACAACCCTAGGAGGAAGTATTATCATTATCCCTATTTTACAAAGATAAGAAATGGAGACTGTTAACAAGTTAAATAACTTGTGCAAGACAGCTCAGCTAATAAGAGATATTGAAGCTCCATCCAAGCTTTCAGTCACTCTATGATCACTGAATATTTTCTTTATATGTGGAATAAAAAATCCATATGCTCAAAATATTTTACATGTTAATCTTCATGGAATCATAGAGAGCAATAAGAAACAATTACTGGACCTTGCCGGCATCTAAATGATCCAAGGAATGTCTTCACTTCTTTACAGCATAGGACCTTGCGCATGTGCTTCAGAAGAAGGAGAAACGTGGCAATCTAGCCAGTAAGACCCACATCATCTCATCAATGTTTTAGATTTATTATATTATGCAACTTCAATCTATCAGGCTTATAATATACAATTTTTAAAGTAGTGTTGGTTTTTGTGGAAAATGTAAATAGTATCTATACATGCAAAACAAATTATTTCATTTATATAACTGAGTTATGAGAACAAAAATTATTATTGTGTAAGCTGATTTGGAGTCCGAGTATTAAAGGCAATGAATTTTACCACTAGAATTTAGACTTCTTGAAATACCTAAGAATCCAAGTAGATTTCTACCCATTCATTCATAAACAAGCAAATAAAAGAAAAAATTCCCTTATAATGTACCAGTACAACAGAAGAAACTCATGACATCAAGATGGAAAGATGATTATAATTTGATAACTCCACTAATGGCAGGGGGTAAGGCACACATAATACAAAACTTCCAATTAGCCTCTGCTTCTCTCCTTAAAAACAGGCCAGGGAATGGAGAAGTCTGGAGTGCTGTGGCCCCATCGCTAATGGTTAAACATACTCTGGGTAATGACAGTCCCAAACATCACCCAGCAGGCCAGGTCGGTCATTGATGGTCCCACACTACATTAACTCCAGCTTCAAGCCAAGAGGACTAGTCCCAGACCACCCGCAGCTATAATTTATGTCATGGGGTGAGGGTTGGAATGAGAAGAGAAAAAGTAATTATTGAGTACCAACCTTGTTCAAGAGAGATAGACTGTTTTACATATTCTATTTTTTTCAGTTCCACCCCACCCTGACAATCTGACCCATTTTACAGATGAAGAGTTAAAGATGTTAAATAACTCATCCAAATAAACAGCACTAGTAAGTAGCCTCCTGTGAATCAAACCAAAGTCGATCTGAGCACAAGTATTGCATGAGCTACTAAGAATTTCTACCTTTCTGTTTCACCCCTTGTGTAGAAGAGGCATAAGAACTGAAGGTCATGGGGCAAGTCACTGTCAAAACTTTGATATTTTTACATTCTTTTTGTCTACCACCCCTGTGCTTTCTCATTCATCTTCACCAAGCTATGTCAATGGAATATGCATTGTATCTGTAGTGCACAGATGACAATTTAAATGAGTATTTGGGAGTAGTATTTTGCTATAGAATCATGACGACACCACTTCTTCAATTAAATTGCAAAGCATTCAGGAACTTAAAGTAAATGACTCTCTAGATCACTCATGGGGATAAATTTAGAGCCCCAAAGAGAAAGCAAAATATCTGGTTTGTGCACATGCATATGGCCCGTAGAGGGTAGGGAGAGCATAGTGTGGGGAGGAAGAGAGCTGCACATGGTGAAACGCAGGGCCCAACAGCAGGCCCTGGTCTTAGGTGCTGCCAGGTTCATTCCAACTGCTCACAGTGTGGATTTCAAATATAATCCAAACAGAAGTGACAAAATCCAAAACCACAGGAGCAAGCACTGGCTTTCAAGTGCTGTGGGAACAGAGACATTTGTTTAAGTAACCACTGTTTTAAAATTGCATACATAGTAACACCAAAATAAACAGCTTGCGATGCTGTTTATTTTAAGATACACAATAGTAATGTAAAGTGTGGCATGCCCCAGATCCGGGGAGCTCGAACATAATTTACAGTTGTAGAGAGCCCTACGAGGACTCAGCTACACGCCAGGACTGTCTACTTCCTGATTAGATAACAGCGAAGGTCAGAAGGCATTGCTTTTTGTGCAGCAAAGAGCCAACAAGCCACCACAAAGACCCTGCTCCTCCTGCTCGCTGTGAATTATGAATCGGGTCCTGTGGAGAGCGGGGTTTGCCAAGTCTCCTCTACAAAGCGTGTATTAATCACAGGTCCTGAGGAGGGGTCAAGAGCACAGTCTGACAAACCGGGAAATGAGTCTCGTCTGCTGACCTCGCTTCCCTCAGTCCTTACCCTCCCTGATCTAAAACCCAACCAAAGAAGGAAAAGAAAGAGAGGAAAAAAATCCTGAAAATACACAAGCTGGTTGGGCGCCGAAGCATATGTAAAACTGAACTCTAAGGAAAAGCAGCTAGATCAAACAAACCTTACACATAATCAAAATAAGAACTCAATTTGTGGCTTATTTTAGCCAACCGAATAGTCCTCCCCACGCCTTCTTTGCTCCTCTTTCCTGCCTCCATCCAGGTGCTTTGAGGAAACATTTGAGGGATCTTTATCTCAGGTTCTCTACTCCAAGATAAGATAGTATTTTAGAGAGCTTTATTAGTGCCTGGGTCTAGCAAAGACCTGTAATCCTAATGGCATTACTCTTGGCATTCTGGTCTTTTTTTTTTTTTTTAATCTCACCACAACCTAAATTAACTTGCCTCGTTGCCCTCATCCTCACTGGCTGTGTTATGGGGGAAAAAAAAACCCATAAACCTTTGAACTTTTCCATACACATAATTCCATATCCTTGATTTTTTTTTAAACTTATGTTTGTCCTAAAATATTGTTAAGCTAAAAACTCTGCTCTGAACTGAATTAAGTCCTCCCAAATTTTGTGTGTTGAAACCCCAGCCTCCATATGATACCTATTTGGAGATAGGGCTTTTAGGAGGTAATTAAGGTTAAATGAAGTCAGAGGAAATGTTATGCAGGGACAGGGAGAAGGTGGCTGTCTGCAAACCAGGAGAGAGCCCTCACCCAACAATAACCCTGCTGCACCTGGCTCTTGGACTTTCCAGCCTCCAGAACTGTGAGAAAATAAATGTCTGTTGTTTAAGCCACCCAGGCTATGGTATTTTGTTATGGCAGCCCTAGCTAACTAATATACTCTTCTACTAAAATTATTCATTTTTCCTCCTTACCAGTACCTCTGGAATTAAGGACAAGAAACTAGACTGTTCTCTCTTCCCTTTCTTCCCTTATTGCCTGCTCCCAGCCCCTACCTAAGACTTTCCAGCCACTTTTCTCATGAAGCTCACAGCATTTGCTTTCTTTCCTCTTCACAGTTGTTGAGAGAAGAATGTTGACTTTTAAGCCACTCCCTCTTTCCCCTACGACTTATGTACATGCTAGAAAGTTCTCCATCCCATGGCTTGCCCCTACTTTTGAAAACTCCAATATGTATGACAAAGGCCTGTCTAATATCTTGCCTGTCTCATTTCCAATGTTATCCATCTCTACTTTATCAGCAGAAAATTCATCAAACAGAGATGTTGCACCTCCAAGATTACAAACCTAAAAATGTTCTTTCTCTGCTTCTCTGTTTCTCTCTCTTATTCTGCACCTGGACTTGCAACCCCTTGGTGGGTTTCCAGTGTTCCCAGTGTGTTACCACACTTTATTTCTCCCCCTTAGCCAACATGGTTCTTTATTAAAATAAAATTTATTATTCTGTATTATCAATGCAATACACATTACATAGAAACTTTCTAATATAAAAAGTAAAAATGTCACCTAGATCTCCCTACCCAAGGATAATCATTCATATGTTCTGTGCATATGTCCATATATATTTTCTCTAATAAAATTAAAATTATATCATAAATACTGCCTTACCCGGTTTACTTTGCCTAGCAACACATAGAGATTTCCCCTTATCTCAAAATACTTTTGGAATATAATTTTTAATGGTTACACAGTAGTCCATAACGCTCCATAACATTCCATATCTCCTACATTTGAGAATATAGGTGACTTTCAATTTTTTATTATAATAAATATCTTTATACATAATTTTGCATAATTTTTGTGTACTTTTAGAATTATTTCTTCATGACAAACTCCTAGAAATGGAATTACTAGATCAAAGAAGAGAAAATTTTTAGTTGTTTTCTTTTTTTAACACATATTACTAGTTTATATTCCAGAAAGACCATGTCAACTTTTATAGTCATTATTAAGTTAGATATTTCCTTCTACCCTGGACAGTGCCAGATATTATAATTTTTTATTCTCAGTTTCCACCAAATAAAAATCTCTTGTTGTTGATTTTTAAATTTATTTGGTCCCAACCTTGGCCTCACAAGTGGCTGGAACTAAAGGTGCACACCAGCACACCCAGCTAATTTATTTAACTTATTTTTATTTTTTTGTAGAGATGGAGTGTCACTATGTTCCCCAGGCTGGTCTTGAAATCCTGAACTCAAGAGATCCTCCCACCTCTGTCTCCCAAAGTGCTGGGATTACAGGCATGAGCCACCACACCAGGCCAATGCTGAACATTTTTTAAATGCTTACCAGTCATTTGTATTTCAGCTTTTGTGAATGGACCTATTCATCTTTTGACTTTTTATTCACTTCATTGTTTTTTCTTTTTTTTGAGACAGAGTCTTGCTCTGTCGCCCAGGTTGGAGTGCAGTGGCGCAAGCTCAGCTCACTGCAACCTCGTCTCCCAGGAGGGAGCAATTCAAGCAATTCAAGCAATTCTCCTGCCTCAGCCTCCCGAGTAGCTGGGACTACAGGCGCCTGCCAGAACACCCGGCTAATTTTTGTATTTTTAGTAGAGACGGGGTTTCACCATCTTGGCCAGGCTGGTCTTGAACTCTTGACCTCGTGATACACCCTCCTCGGCCTCCCAAAGTGCTGGGATTACAGGCGTGGTCCACTGTGCCCAGCCTGCTTCAATTTTTTTCTTACTGATTTGTACAATGCTTTATTTATTAGGGACACTAATCCTTTGCCTGTTATATAATGTTACATATTTTTGCTAGTTTAGTGTTTTTCTTTATTTTGTATATGCTGTTTTCTTGGCATTCAAAAGCTCTTAATTTTCAAATGTATGTAATTTAATCTATCACAGTTTTTCTTTATAATTCCTTTGCTTTTACTCTCAAAACATTTCATTAAACGAAGGAAAGAGAAATAGTCATGTCTACTTCAAAAAACTCTTAAATGTATATTTTGATGAAGACTACTGATGATTTTTTTCTCAACTGACTTGAAGTGATGCCTTTAAAATTAGTAAATTTCTTTCTATATTTGGGTTGATTTGTGAATTCCTATTTTGTTCAAATGATCATTGTGCCTATTGTGTCAGCCAGTGCCACGTCATGTAGCTTTATGATACATTTTAGTAATTCTCAGTGCACAAGCTCCCTCATTTTTCTTTTCCAAAAATATCTTGACTTTTCTTAGTTGTTTTATTATTCACATGAACTGTAGGATTATTTTTCTGTCCCAGGAAAGATTATCTCATTGGAATTCTTACTTACTGGTCTGTCATTTCAAAAACTGCTCTAACATCTTCCCTCTCCTCCCCTTGTTGATCTCACCCTTAGGTTTTTCCTGTTGTCTGCTTTAGTCCCTCTTGCTCTTTGGTGCTGAGACTGCCTGAGAAAGGATGAGATGATGTGGAGAGAGTCCATTCAGCCCGGCCCTTTTTGCTCCAAGTCTGCATTTCCGTGCCTTCCTAATTCACTCTCCATCACCCTCGCCACAGTTCCTAGTCATAAGTGAAGAGAAGCTTTTTCCTGACCTCCCTCAGCTTTCTTGCTATCTTTACAAAATGTTTGTTTCTTAGTACCTTCCCAGGTGTGCTTTGGTCCCCATCTTCACTGGCCTCCTTTTCTCTCTCTTTTTTTTTTTTTTTTTTTTTTGATGGAGTTTTGTTTTGTTGCCCAGGCTGGAGTGCAGTGGCACTCAGCTCACTGCAACCTCCGCCCCCAGGGTTCAAGCAATTCTCCGGCCTCAGCCTCCCGATTAGCTGGGATTATAGGCACCCAGCTAATTTTTGTATTTTTAGTAGAGATGGAGTTTCACTATGTTGGCCAGGTTGGTCTTGAACTCCTGATGTCAGGTGATCCACCCGCCTCGGCCTCCCAAAGTGCTGGGATTACAGGTGTGAGCCACTGCGCCTGTCCTGTCCTTGATCTTTCTACAGAATCCACTTCCTCTACTTTGAAACTCCTTTCCTCTTCACATGATCTGATTATGCTCCTACTGGTCTGATGTCTTTATCTCTGCTCACTACTTTCTTTCTCCACCTCTTCACATATAGTCTTCAAAAAGACTCAAACCCCGTTCTCTCTCTGCACTGTCTCTTATTTTAACCTTTATTCAGTGCCATGGTTTCAAGTATTACCTCTACAAAGATTAGCTCCAACTCTCAAACTATAGTGCCACCATTTTCAGCTTCCACAGAAGTTCATCCACCTGGATATCTGGCTGGTGCGTCTAAACCTAAGGCCTCTATATACCTTTAGAAGCTTTCCTCACTCTTCTCCCATTCATATTCTGTGCTTTCGTCTAACTGAGCTGTAACATCTGAAATCTCTGTATGTAGAATCAAAGAAAGCCTGATTAAGCATCCAGATTGAAACTGTCTTCAGGGGAAAAATAAAATTCCACTTATCACTTGCTGCAATGAGACAATTCTGTCTAGTACCAGACTTTGCCTTCCTTGGAATGGGCCTATGAGATCGCCATTTAGAGATGTAAAACAATTCTTCTCCACCAGCTTGACCAGGATGAAAAATGGCATGCTGATGGACAGTTAATTCTCAGGATGAAGAGTTTAGGAACAAAGAACAAAGATGCCCAAAGCCCCAACCAGCTTGCTCCAAAGCTGTAATAACACAAGTGACAATACGTTTATTGTGAAGTTAGTTTGCAGTCTTCCAGTTCTTTCTCTTAAGTTTGAGTGTACAAATTCCAAAAGTTACTTTGACTCATGCTGCCACATATGAATGGTCTGTCAGGTCTTTTGCCTTTCTCTTGCACATGTGCTATGTGTAGGATTTGATCCCCATTCCAGACTTAGGGCAAAAGAAACAAGTGCAATACTTGTCTTTGAAGAGTGTGTCACTCACATCCAAGTTCAGGTTTCATGGAGCTATGACAGAGCAAACTATTTCAATGGATTATATGAAAACATTAATAGACACCAGTTTACACTTGCACAGTATTTTGTCCTTCTCAGAAGGCTATTTCTAATCTTAGCTAACCCTCAAAACAATGAGGTAAGAAAACGAGCACTCAGATAAATTAAATAACTTGCTCAAAATAATCCAGGGAGCAAAAGGCTGTGCTAAGACTAGGACACTGGTCAAATCTTAATTTGGTCCTAACTCCACTGCTTCTGGTATATATATAACCTTATACATGGTAGAGATTTCTTTCACCGTGCCCTGAAATGTTTGCTTTTATCAACACAAAGAGTTAACAGATTGTCCTCACTATCTAAAGGTAGGAAAGTCACTTTTTTTTTTAAATGAATTACAGACATTTCTATTGTCTGCTCCAACCACAGAGGTCCAACCATAGAGTCATGAGAATTTAAGCATACCTCTTTTTATGTAACTGATTATATATACATTTTAAATAAGCATGGGGGTATTTGGAATAGCCATGGACAAACGGGTACAAGTACATAAGGACCAAAGAGCATGAAATCATTTTTCTGTCAAACTTGCTCTGCAAAAAAAAAAAAAAAATCAAAAATTTTAGAGGATTTCCAGACTGACAACAAAGGTCATATTAAAAACTAATGCCTTTTCACACGATCATATTTAATTACATTTAAGTGTTTTACTAGAAAACATAAAACCTTCAGGTCTAAGCTCTAAGAGGGGTTTTTATCAAAGTGCCATCAGGTAATCCATGAGATTTTGCTACACAGTTCTAAATTTATGGCTTCACAGAAACTAACAGAAAAACTGAGCCTATAATTGAATAATAATGACCCCATGTTCCCATGTTCTCTTACTACTTTAAAAAAAAAATCACTGTGAGGAAGGGTTTAAAACAAGTATAGCAACTCATGAGCTGCCTGCAGGTATCTTGAAACACTGAAATAGAACCTATAACTTTTCACCATGGGGAAAAAAAATAAGGTTGCTTTTAAAGAGAGTCCCAATGTGTCACCAAATCTACAGGGAATAATCTAGCATTCATCTTTTCTATTGATAAAAGCCTTTTTCTTTTTAAAAGACTAGTGTAGCACCACCCCGGTACACTTGGGTTGTTTTTTGTCAGCGTACGATGGGATCACACCATGTATTCTGGGTAAGAAAAAAGCCATTTTCCAATTCTAGTGTGGCCTGAGTCATGGGAATATACTTTTCCAAATTATTATAGAATTGCCAAATATTTCCAAGACAAAATTAATTCTGGAATATTTGTGATTGCAGGAGAATGATGCAAGAAGTCAAATAAAATCTAGACAGTTATATTATAATGTGATAACAGAGGTATTTAAATTAACAGCAGCAACAAGATTTGATGCTGGGATTAACAAGAGGAGATCTTCATTATCTGGCTATGTCAGGCAAACCAGATATCAGCAGATTTGGCGGGGGGAGAGTGGTGGCTGGAAGGAAACTAATTAGTGGCCCATGTTAATTTTCTATAATGCTCAGAATAACTAGATAATAATATTCTCTTCATTTCTTGTCATCGCAGAATCCCATGACAATATCTCTTGAGTTGTAATTTTTGTGTGTGTGGACAATCAAGTCAGATTCAACAAATATTCATGTTATCTATTATAACCAAGAAGTAAAACTATAGTTTAAGAAAAATTATCTGCCATTATATTGTGACTTGACAACTTATCCACTATTAGATAAAAACAACTTAAATTTGTTCTGGCAGATTTGGGACTTGGCAGTTCAGAATATGAATAGCAAATGTAAAAGCATGAAAATGGCATTACTATTATGTTTTAAGAGGATAATACACCTTTAAAGGGTGCCAGTGATTATTCTGCATACTGTAAACAACTGCTGCCAATCAATTTAGAAAGTGGCACACAGCACCTAAATGTAATAAGGCAAACTCCATTCAACCACCCTAATGCTTCCTACCTAAGTCACTATTTCTTAACAGGAGAAATGGGGCTGGATATCATCTTTACACTTCATAATCTGTTCCAAATTGCAAAAACAGACTACAGCATGGAGAAGGCAGGACATTTCCAGGAGTCCTCTGAAATCTGTGCAGTAACACTTTCTAAAATCGAAATTAGTCTTGAATGTTAGGGTCACTTTATGACCCTATCCTGCAGCAAAGCTGAGGGACAGTCAGTATTCTCATAACCCAGTCAACTTACCCTGTAATTCCCAATCACTCCACTTCTCCATGGAATACACTTGCAAACTGTGGTCATGTGGAACGAAGAAATGGAAATTTTCCCTATGATCTGAATGAATATTCAGGGATTTCACTAAATAGCATTTAATGGCACTCTATTCTTGGAGTTTTTAAATAGCTGAATATTCAATATGCACATGCCTTCTATGTTCCTTTATTCAAGGGTCCTCAATTCCCCATCTCCTTGAATTCTTTAACATATTTTTAAACAATTATACTTCGAGTGATATTTTATGAAATTGGGTGCTAAACTTTGAGCTAATAATTATTTTGGTTTCTTTTTGATGGTAATTTAATAAGCCTTTCATTCTTCAATCTTTTCATTCAATTCCTTTTTTTTTTAAGTAGACTTTATTTTTTTAGATCAGTTTTAGGTTCCTCAAAGCAAAACTGAGAGGAAGGTACAGAGATTTCCCATAAATCCCTGGCCCCACACATGTATAGCCTCCCCATTATCAACACCCCCTACCGGAGTAGCACATTTGTCACAACTGATGAACCTACATTGACACATCATAATCACCCAGAGTCCATACTTTCCATTAGGGATCACTCTTGGTGTTGTACATTCTATGGGTTTGGACAAATGTATAATGACACGTATCCACCATTGTAGTATCATCCAGAGCAGTTTGGCTGCCCTAAAAACTCTGTGTTCTGCCTATCAATTACCTATTTTTAAAATGTATCTGCCAGTTAGTAGCTCATAATCTGGGAGGTAAGTTTCTCAGTCTATCTGAGGTGAACCTCTTTTTAAACAGGATTGTCTGATGTAATTTGAAATATCTTGAAACGTCTTAAAATGTTTTTGCATTGAGGAGACTATGCATTTCATTACCCCCATGAAAAGCCATTGCACCACCACTGTACTGGCAACTTTACCACAATGTCACTCAGAACCATGTGAACAAAGGCTGCTGAATCCCAAACACATCAGTCTTTCCATGCAGAAGCCCTCATAATCCAATTCAAAACACCAAATTGGGACTACAAGTAAAAGGTTATGACATAGCAATATGCAATTTTTCCCCCTCAAGAGAGACAAAGTAAATTCAGTTGCAATTTTCTCTCTTCTAGAGGAGCTTCTAGGATCCAACACGACATTAAATTTTTGGCCTGTCTCTTTAATTTGAGAAATTGTAAAAACGACAACAGATGGCACACAGAATTGACTTATGTCCTCTATTCTTTACTGAAGAAGGGAGTGAAGAGAAACTTTGATAAAGGCAGAAGCTACAGTATGCAGGTCACTATTAAAATTATCTGGTGGCTCTTTGGACAGCTAGCATCAGAACACTCAGGCTTTCATTTTTAGACATTCTTTAAAACTAACCAATACTGTTGCAGGTTGCCACTGCTGATCACAGCCCCAGCACTCAGCACCCTCCCATCCCAATAAGGACATGACGGATGTGCCATTAGCTCTGAACCTCAGCAACCTCTGAAATTACCCTTCTGCCCACCCCTATCTCCCATCCCCACCCCTCAAAATCATTATGAAATAGGAAGAACACTCAAGCTTACAGTTAATTGGAAACATTGCAAAAGAAGAGGAATGCTTAGGACAGCATGTCCACGGGAAAATAAATCACCCAGCATTGTAATTTAATGCATTGTGACATCATTTCCTGAAATTAAACAGAGATGACACCAGTTCAGACGATCTCTAGTATAAGATTCCATTCAAATAATTCACAGATGTTTTCTCCTGGCAAGCAGGAAAACAATGCAAAGGCTAAGGCTAGGGGCGGCCCCACTATGCTGCATGTTTGTGGGAAGCTCTCTCTGCTGGTACTTTCAGCTGTGTGTTCTGCATGTGCATTTCCACATAAGTATTTCTTAGGAGACTCACTTGCATGCATGTGAACATTTGCAGCTCTGAATATGAGAAAGACCATCTCTTACTGTATAACTAAGGTCAACATTTCCTATTTGGTATTAATTTGGCTCATAGCTATTTGTATTATGTAGACCAGTCTCAGAATCATGAAGGCCCTAATTTCCAAGCAGAAATAACTAATGTCCATGAAATACTGGTTCAATTAACCATTCAAGATCCTTAAAAGATGTCTAATGATAGAAATTATCACAGTGTCTCCAGGGATACATTTGTGGAAATGGACAAGTGGAGAAATTGGGGGTGCAGGATGAAAGAGGTGGGTAGCACTACATCTCTAACCCTTGGTGATACATAAGCTCTGAGCGGCTTCAAGCAGCTAGAAAGCCAAGCACACAATCAGAAGACCAGAATACCTAACATCTGTGCAGCACGTTACAGTTTACAAATTGACTGCATCATTTGAGCCACACAGCAACCCAATCAGCTAAATAGGGCAGATAACTTTCATTTTGATGGTAAGAAATAGGTTCAGAGAGGTTGAATAATATCACAGAGTTCACACCTAAGGCTTCCAAGTTCACAGCTGGTGATCCCTTTTTTAAAAACCATTACCATGGCCAAGTGCTGTGGTTCACACCCATAATCCCAGCACTCTGGGAGGCTGAGGTGGGAAGATCAGTTGAGGCCACGAGTTTGAGACCAGCCTGGGCAACACAGCGAGATGCCGTCTCTACAATCAATCAATCAATAAAAAATAATAAAAACCATAACATGCTGTCTTGCAGACAGCCTAGACTTTCACACTCTAAGGAAGATAGCAACTCTATATTCTGTTCATATCCTGGAAGACAAATGGTGAAAGAGAGCATTCTCTCTCAAAAGTAGCCCCATTGGAGACATTCTGAACTACTCCATAGCCCATTTCTTCTCCACCTTCCACCCCATCCCTGAAAGTTCACTAGGATGCTCTGGCTTTCATGACACCAGGACTCTCTAATGCTATCACCTAGCTTCAACAAGCAGCCACCAAATGTTAATATGGATTTCGGAAGGCAGAATGTAGACCATGTTCTCTCCTACTGAGGGGTATTTCCATTTTTTTTTCTTTTTTTTAGGCTGGAGTGCAGTGGCACAGTCTCCACTCACTGCAACCTCTACCTCCCGGGCTCAAGCAATTCTTGTGCCTCAGCCTCCCCAGTAGCTGGGACTATAGATGTGTGCCCACACACCTGGCTAATTTTTGTATTTTTAGTAGAGACGAGGTTTCACCATGTTGCCCAGGCTGGTCTTGAACTCCTGGCCTCAAGCAATCCACCCCCCTTGGCCTCCCAAAGTGCTAGGATTACAGGCGTGAGTCATCGCCCCCAGCCTGGATATTATTATTATTATTATTATTTTTTCTTTGAGACAGGGTCTCACTTTGTCACCCAGCCTGGAGTACAGTGCCGTGATCATGGCTCCATGCAGCCTTTGACTCCTGGGCTCCACCTCATACTGCCAAGCAGCCAGGACCACAGGCATGCACCACCATGCCCAGCCAATTAAAAAAAAATTATAGAGATGGGGTCTTGCTGTGTTGCCCAGGCTGGTCTCAAACTCCTGAGCTTCAGGCATTCCTCCCACCTCAGCCTCCCAAAGTGTTGGGGTTAAAGGCATAAGCCACTGCACCGGCCATATTTGGGATTTGTTTGGCAAAACCTGGTCTCTACATCTCTACAATCCCAGGAACAAATGTGGTAACTTTGGATGCCCAGGTCCATTGGTCAAAGCCTTCTGCTAGCCATTTAACTGGATTAAAATAAAAATTATAGTTACTTTATATATGTACTTATTATAAGAATCAGGCACAGGGCTGAGTACTTTACATTATTTCACTTAATCCTTAAAATAACCTTACCAGGTGGAACTAGAATTATTCTTCTTCTGCAGATATGAAAAATGAGGCGCAGAGAGGGTAATGGCTCAAGATCAAAAATCTACTGTGTTGCAGATTCCAGGCCCTGTGCTCTTAACCTCGACATTGGACTGCCTCATTTAAGAAAGAAGCCATCTGGATCTGCACAAGATAAAGATAACTAGTCAAAGGGCAAAATAGTCTAAGTCTCTCTGTTTCTGTTTCTCTTTCTCCTTCCCTCCCTCTCTCCTCCCTTGCATATGTGTGTGTGTGTGTGTGTGTGTGTGTACATTACAATAACAAATTTAAGATGACTAAGTTTACGGTCATATGGTCTTGATGAACTCGGTGGAGAGACAGGTTTCTCTAACATCACATGGAACTGAATATACTTATAACTTGGGTGCACTGTCTCTGTAGGATGATATCCTTTATAGCACATTTTTATTACCAAACCCAGGCCTTGACAAAATCCCATAAGTCAGATTCTAATAGGCAAGTAGTAAAATGAGTAAACACCTGAGAGGTGGGCTTCACCCCTCTCCCCAACCCCCAGAGATATGAAGAGGGGACAAAGCATTTTGTCATGAACAAAAGGCAGAGGTTTTAGAATCTGTAGTTTCAAGGCAGCTGCATACATAATATTACATCACTTTGTGTGTGTGTGTGTGTGTGTGTGTGTGTGTGTGTGTGTGTGTGTCTGGGTTTCATTCCGTTGCTTAGGCTGGAGTACAGTGGTTCCATCCTAGCTCACTGCAGCCTCAAACTCCTGGGCTCAAATGATCTTCCCACCTTGGCCTACTGAGTAGCAGGGACCACAGGCATGTGTGCACCACACCCGGCTAAATTTTTATTCTTTTGTAGAGATGGGATCTCATTATGTTGCCCAGGCTGGTGTCAAACTCCTAGCCCCAAGCGATCCTCCCCACTTGGCTTATATCACTTTTAAAAGTAAAATTTGCTTCTGATTCTGTAACACACATCTTTGAAAGAAGTCCCACATCTGCTAAGTGTGAGCTTTATCCCTATGTTTTCAAATAAGAAGACCTTCAGCCAGAAACTGGTATGAGCAAGTAGTGTCTTTGTGTATGAGCACTTCCTGTTTCTAGTCCATGATCAAATATATTATTTGCAGCACAACTGGAGGAGCTCTTGAAGGTGGCAAGTGGAGGTGCCCGAGGGCCTAATTGAGCACATTAAGGGCTTCTTGGCGTGGAGGAGTTTTTTCACGTCAGCCTGGGTATTATTGCTTGCTGTTTCTTTCTTTATCTTTGAAGTCAAATAAAAACAGTTGTAATGGCAGGCTTACTTTTATGATATCATAGTCTCCATGTGCTAGCAAAAGGAATGTACTTCTCTAGGATTTCCCTAAGTTTTTGTCTGTTTGTTTGTTTGTTTTGCCATTGGGTACTTTCCAGCAAAGGCACACACATTTCCAAGAGATTCTTTCTTCAATCATCACTGGATTTCTTAGCTTGAGAAGTTAGGCAGTGCCATCAACCAACGGAAGAGGGTAATGGTATACAGAAAGTTTTTGCTAGTTGAATTTCTAAAAATATATAGATAGATTTATTCTGTTAAAATTATTGTGAATTTTTTTAGAGGGGATATTTGTAAGGGGCATTTTGAAAATAGGGTAGTTCGAAACAAAAAAATTGAGGCTAATTATTAATATTTAGCCCCAGATTAAGCAAATTCAGAATGCTTAATTCTGACTATGGAAACGGTTTATCAAATCACTTGATTTTTTAAATGCCACTTTGGACTTTGTTTAAATATTTTCCTCAGCGTAATCAATTAGTGCAAGTTTGTTACCTTTCCCCCTGAAGTTGGTGGTGCAAAGGAATTTGAGAGATTGTTTTAACTGTTACAGTTGGAGTGGAACTTGTTCTTCCAAGAAAACTGAGGGTGAATGATTTTTGTCATATTGAGACTAAGACTTAACAATTGCTACAGTTGGCCTTTGTTGAGGTAGGTTTTTTTCCACCTCTGGGCCTTTTGAGGTATTCAGAATAGGTGACAATAGCTTGCAGTTGAGAACATATGTAGAAAGACCCCTGTGGCTTATTGGGAAAAGTTGCTCCACGCTGGTTGGGTGTTTGGAAAAAAAAAATACAACCAGAGTTCTTTTATGTTCTGCTAGTTAATGAATGCATGAATGTCAAAATGGGCCAATGGCCCATTCAGGGGGCAAAGCCTTGGCAGCCCCCTTCTTTAAGAACACATCCTGAGATGCAAAATACATTTGCTTAACAAATTAAAATAATGAGATAATTCAATTAGCTTCTTTTTTAAAAAAGAAAGAAAAAAGGGTACATCGGGGATTATTGTAATACAAGAACAGGTCACACTGCACAAAAGGGAACAAACCAGTTTGAAATAATGTTAAAGAGACTAATAATGGAGAAATGCATATTGAATCATGCACTTGTAAAGAAATTTACATGAAATAATAATTTAGACTGCATCTACTTTCAGTGAGCTAGAGCCAACATTTCACTTTGAAAGTCGAAATTAATTAAATGACAGAAAAATATAGTGGGGCATCTCTAGTTCCAAGGACTTCCTCATGCCTGTTAGTGCATGTAAGAAAAGAAATCTAAATTAACATGTCGCTAGTTAGGGGTCTCTATTCTTGGTTTCTGAGCTCAGAATTACAGCTGAGTAAATCTTTCAGCTCATTAAAGATTGGAAAGTAAAAGTTTTACAGGACCATCCTCATCAAAGTTACTGAACCTCTTCTCTGCAGTGGGGTGAAGTGTGGATGAAGAAGGAAAACATTTTCAAAGAGCAAGCAGAGGAGAATTTCCTAAAGCTACAAGGGAGGTGCAGAAAAGGCAGAGGAGCGGCACAGAGAGAAAGATGGGAGACAAAGCTAGTGGGAGAAAGTAATGAAAGGGGCATGTTGTGAAGAAGGTCAGGAGAGAAATAAAGCAGTTAGTGAAAAGCAAAAGCAAAGAGAAAGGGGGAAAGAGAGGAAAGAATGACCCATGAGGCTGGGACCGGGCATTGCTCTGACTAAATGTCCTTGAGCAGAACCAAAACCTAGGAGCATGGGAAAGGAGCTTATCCATCCTGCAACGTGTCCCTCTCATTTGAAAAATGGGGAAACAGAAAGTCCAGGGAACTTAATGGACTTAACTGAGGTTCAGCCAGTACAGAGGATCACAGAGCATGAATGCAGACTTCCCAACTCCCCCAGCTTAGGCTATTTGAGTCCTCTCTCCCAACCTGGAGGACAGGCAGTCATTAAAAATTTGAGTCGGACAGAGAATTCTGCACAAAGCCTTGCATACATTCAACTAGATGAAAGCATTCTTGAGGTGACTACAAGCTCTTACTGTTAGTTCGTAGCACAGCAGAGGTACAACAAGTGCCCAGAAATCACCAGCCACCCACAACTCTAATCGGTGGCCATGGTGCATGCTGGGTGCCGCCCTGGGCAGGGAGGTGGGAGATAAGGTATTAAGGGCTCCTGACACTCCCATGTGAGATTCAACTCACAAAATACAGGTGGTAAGGCTTTCTATATTGGGTAACACGGAGCTTTCAAAACAAGAAAAGAAAACAGCACTTGGCTTCTCCGTATTTCTCCCTTGTGACTCTGAGCGTATTGATGGTGGAGACTGTGAGATTTCTATGCAACTGTTAAAGGTGATCGTCATTTTGGCAAAGTCATTGTAATGTGGAAAAATCACAGAGTTGGGGACTTGGAAGTCTCGGGCCCTTGTCTCAGCTTGACCTTCAGCTAGTAACTTCCCTTTTTGGGTCTCTGTTTCCTCATCTATAAACAGAGCAGCTGCATTCTCTAAGGTTCTACTGTTCTCTGACATTGGTTTTGATGACAGAGAGGTTGAAAACACACGTAGCTGTTTGCTTGGAAAGCAGCTGTTGAAGTGTTTATTTTCGACCAAGAAAGACCAAGCATGGAGGAGGACAGAGGGAGGGAACCAAACAGGTGAGCTGGTCAGGAGAAGGCAGCTGGCCTGTCATCCGCAGCTACACTGCCGTTCTTAGTTGCTACTCTAACCAAACAAACCTTCATTTAAAAATGAGAAACCCCTCCCCTCACAGTCACTCGACTTCCAAATTAAAAACATTTTACAGGTTAGTAAATCTCCAGCTGAGGTGATGTAGCAAAGAACAGCTGTGAAGTAATTTTGATAATGATGAGAATAATAACCACATGGCAAGGTTCAGGGCTTTGCTGTTGCAGCTTCAGTGCTCCTGAATAGATAAAAGTGATTAAATACTCCTGATTATCCCTGACCAATATGTAATGGATTTACAGCCCTTTCAATTAGTCAGTATTTGCTTAGGACTCATTATTTTGTCTTTGGTTAAGTAATCAGTCCAGAGACCGCATGTTCTGTCTAATTCCTCTGAGCCGAGTCAGTGCAGGGCCCTGACCTTTGAAATGGCCATAGCTGCAAGGCAAGAATAACCACTACCACAGCTGCCTCATTGGTTCTCCCAGCTAATCCTGACACCACAGGCCAGATCGATACACCTTAGTTTGCTACTAATGTCCTTACATCAAAATGGCCGATTTAGGAATGTGAATCTATCACTTTTCCCTCCCCACCACTGCTCCACCCCTTGCCCTTTGTAGCTCTGCAAGAAGAGCCCATCAGCAGCCACCACCATAAATAAAAGTGGAACCTTGTCCTGGACCCATGACACTGTAACTAATGTCATTCAGCATGGCAACACACAAGTTGGATAATCAAAGAAGACCTTCAGCTTTCAATGTGCTACTCTATTTTTAAGTATTAGCCTAAATAGAATGGCCTGAAAACAATATTATAGCAAGAAGCAACCTCTGAAATTTTTACTGGTTTCCCAGAATTTCCAAATGAACAGTAAAATATAAGCATGCCTAGTTTATCTGTAAAAATATATTGTAATTTTTTTGTCATAAGAGTCTTAGAGTCAACAGTATGTATCCACACATACAAGGATTGCAAACAGGAAGATAAAGATAAATTGTTACTTTTAAAATGTCTCACATAGTAAAACCGTTTCCAGAAGTGAACATGGTTAGCTTTTAAGATAATGGACTTGAGCAGCTAAAAAAAGAATCTTTAATGTCCACCTTGCAAACAAAGGCATTACAGCACCTATAACCCTTCTGAATTTGTCATATAAATACATGACATATTTGTAAACTGCTTCAGCAATTAAAGCTGCACCTGATATTGTGAGCTTGGACATGCATGTGGCAAGGTGCTTTTTTTTTTTTTTTTTTGGCCTCCTAGAGGAGACAGCTTTCGTTAACAGTGTAATCAGCAACGTTTATGGATTTGTGAGCTCCTTACAGCCATTTCCCTTGGTTGCTGTTGCAGTATCCGAAGTTGCTCTCATACTTTTAGCATAAATAACAAATTTACTTATATATGCTGTTTAGGGTCTTAGATCATTTTAAATAAAGTCCATTCCCAGCTTCTTAAAACAAAAACCTGCTACTTTCTAGAGGGTGCTCTTTGGATGGTAATAGTTGATGAAAAAAAAAACTTTAACTAGTCTGTTAGTCATCAGATTTCAAGAATAAGAAAATAGGCACCTTAGTTTAAAAAAAAATCAGTATGAGACCGTATAACTTGCTAGCAAAACAACAAAAACTATTTTTTTTTTCTCTTTCATCTTGACTTACTGTGAGATGCTGGAAGAGCCATGCTCTCATGATATTTGTTGCTACTTTGGGGAAAATGCCTCTTTTCTTCTGGCGTTTTTTGTCCTTATCCGGATCATCATCGTCACCTGTACCAGGTGAAGCTACACTGTTGTCTAAACCATCCCCTAGTAGAAAGAAATAAAAATACATTAGAGAAAACATCGCAAGGTGCCAACAACAAGTGCAGCTAATGATGAGCTCAGCTAAGCTTGTTGAAAGAAATCCATTAAGCGAGTATATTCTCTTTCATTAAAGTATAATTGGAGACACAAATATGTAAAAGACAAAATTAAACCAGGCCTCTTCAAATGTTAATTTTGTGTGTCTCACACTTGCCCATATCATTAATTCAATTATAACTGTGCACTTGACACAGTGCAGTAGCTCTTTGTCAATTATGGAATCCAATGTGGGAAAACCGCCATCAGAAAACCTATTCAGTGGAAACGCATCCCCATGCCCAGAGTGAACACATACTGTAGGGTAATCAAGTTAAATGTTCTGTAGTCTATATATTCTAGGCTGCCTGCATAGGTGACAGTAACTGTGTCACTGTTCGTTGCACATAACGCACTGCCTGCTCAGCCCCTCCTAGAGCTGTCACCTCCTAAGCACGCACATTCGCACACTTCTCATATGACCCTGCACTCGGCATTTGCATGACATGAAAACTTTTAGCTCTCTGCACCACTGATCATTATCATGAAAAAAAAAAAGATACACATCAAGGTAGGGTGCTCACTTAATCAGAAGTTTCTATCAACATCTTTCTCTTCTGTGCTTTTCTCTGGCATTAATTGTGCATTAGCAAAAATCATTTACTTTTAACAGTCATAGTTATTTTTTCTTGCCCTCTGGCAAAAATGCCTTGAAAGCCTGCCTGGAGGGCATCTAAATTATGTATCTGAAAAACTCTTCTGGCAAGGCATTGCAGGACCCCTACTTTCTTAAAATTCATACGAGCACGTCTTCCTGTTTTTGGGAAGGCATCAATCAAGAGCAGCAATATATGCCATATCCCTACATTAATATTTGAACTAATAACTTTAAAAAAAGGAAAGAAACAAGATCCGACTTGTGGCATAATCAAATGCAAAATAAATGAAGAATACGGGGACAGCACTGGGGCTTTATAGATGGCTGTGTTTTCCTTGCACATCATTAGCCTGGAGCCACACGAAAGAGGAAAACAGAGAAGTGGAGAGTTTATGCTCCCTGCTGGTGTTTAAGAAGCCAGGGTCCTGGAAGGACATCTGGGAATTGCACTGAGATGGGGGTTTTTGTAATTTAAGAATAGACATTCATTAGCAGTAAATGCCATAAATCCCATGCTAAGTAAAAACCTTGTCCAAGAAAGCCTAAAACAATAAACTCTGTGCTCAATGTAGCCTGAGCTGGATGCTCTGTAGCTTTCTGAGGAATACTAGAGATCCATCAGCTCATTCCCAGACCTGCTCCCTCCTCTCGGACTATGCTACAGCACAGCCATCCTGCCCACTGGGCCACTTGCCTTCTAACTTCTGGGTCTGCTCTGTGGGCTTCCCTGTACCTGTTCTTTTCCTTTCTTGCCAAAAAACCCTCAACTTTCTTTGACTAGAGAAGCAGAAAAGCCACAGCAAAGAGCTGGCAGATTAATTTTATTGACATTTCCATTTTCACTGCAATGCGATACCCTCCATCACATGGAAGAGATGACCCTCACTATTTACAGACTGACAGGCCACTTCATTACAACCACCCTGCCCCAAGGCAAAGCAGCTCCCTTCCATCTGCCCAAACACTAGAGCATGACCCCGAAGTTGCTGTTCTCTTTTTCTTTGCCTTCTGTTATGATAAGAAAAAAGGGACCCCATATAGTCAAAGACCGAATCAGTATACAGTGAAACAAAAGGCATTTGACTCTTTCAATACTGGATAATATACAGTCTAGTTTTCATCTGTCACCCTCCCTGCACACCCATGTACACCGGAGTGTCGCCTGGACAAGGAGACACACACACATACACGCACACCCAAGCTCGTGCAGGGACACGTGCACACGCTTTCCACCATGCCAAGGAACTGCTGCAAGGCAAATTCTCACCCACACTAATGGCTTCTGACTGCTCCTTGGCAACCCTAGCATTTTAACCTGGGTGGATGTGCTCTCCAAAATACAGACACTGGAGCGATCTCATCAGCTGTTCATGTGACACAGATGGAGAGTGGCTATTAGGAGCCAGGCAGTGGGCCTTGGGGATCTGAGGTGCTGTTCTGTAGCCTGAGGCAATTTTGAAAAGCAGTACCCGGAGATGAGGAAAAAAAATCCACACTGCAAGTGCAAGTTTGAAGTCAGTCAGTCTGTCTGTCTACCTACCATGGATAAAGATATCTTTGTGTGTAATATGAAATCTATGTAGGCTATCTGAATGTACATTTCAGATAATGTATGTATGGAATAACTCTTCCTTCAGTGTCTTCCAAATATAAAAACACACTCTGTAAACAATGCCTGTGTGTATATATTTCTTTCTAAGCACATATGGTTTCTGTGTATATGTTTAAGCTGAAATTGTCAGGATTTTGTTAAAATCTCATTTAGCTTTTTTTGATAGATTTTTGAATGCACTTATTTTAAAAGGTTAATGGCTTAATTGAAGGAAGTTCAATGAAAAAAGTCATTTGCCTTTTTAACCCAATCAATGACCTTAAAAATGAGAGACAGCATTTCCACAGTGCATCTTTTCTTTCTTAAAAGCAAAGAGGGCTGGTAACACCTTCGAACTTTATGATTCACTATATTTAGTGCAAGAAAAAATATAGCTAGATTGAGCATCCTTTGATGACTGACTTAAACTGGAGAAGACAGGAGCATCACATAAATTTTAATATAAAGCAACCCGTTGTATATAAATGTAAAATATTTGAATTTAGATCCAGTGTAACAAATAATTATAAACAATAATGTGTCTAGTTTTGTATTAATGACTACATACTAGACACAAAATTTTAAACTAATATATGTTTATACCTCTATAAAAAGAGGAATTTTCCTCTCCCAAACACAACAATAAATACAATTGTTTTTTCCTCCAATGGACTGTGGACCAAATCCAGCACAGAGAACTAACAACAGCATAACGAAAATTTTTGAAAGACAACTGCGTGAACTGCAACCTAAAATAAAATTTTGCAGCTGATGCTAGAGTTAGTAACTCAACATGGATATTGGTGTTTTTTTTTTTTTGTTTTAAGGCTGTGTATGTGTGTGTGTGTGTGTGTGGTTGTGTGTATAAGATAGTTGGCAATCCTTGGCACATGTGCCAAATGAGTTTATGTGCTGAAAAAGGTATGTATACCAGCACAAATGCACGTGCCAAATGAGGTAAGGAGATAGCATCTGAAGTTAGGATTCAAAATTGTGGAATCCTTGCGGGCAGTTAACTGTTTCTTGCTTATCTTTTGATTATGAGAAGATACCTCCATGCCTGACTCAGAACACATAACCAGTGATTGTTGGTTGGGTGAGTAAATGACTGAACTTATCAATGAGCTTATGCAAGGGCCCTCCCCACTTTTTGCCAACCCCCACGGTGGGGCAACTGCACACACTATATACCTAAAGGGTGAAGGTCTTGTTCCTCTGGAACAGCTGAGTGGGTTACGTATGTGCACACAGTAACTTCTAAACATGCCAGGAACAGAGCTTCTTTGAAGAGCTGAGTACCCACAGGGCTTTTTTGCAGAGCTAAACCAAAGGCCATTCCATCAGCATTGCCACCTCTGATGATGAAAGGCTATATAAAGAAATACTGGGCATGCTTCTTTTGAAAGGTTGCTAATCCCTTGACCAAGGGCATAGTCTAAGTTTTGGGTAAACATACTCAAAATAAATGTGCATTAGTGAAACATATTGTGTGTGACCATGGAAAGGAAGACTCAAGGCCTGTGGACAGATAAATCGGAAGTGGATTAAATGATCAGAGGAGATTGTTAAAAACACAGGTCCCCAGGCCTCATCCCAGACCTACTGATTCAAAATGTCCTAGGGCGGGAAAAAGGAATTTGTAATTTCAACAATTCCTTGGGTTTGCTTATGCAATCAGAGTATCACTGATGCTTTAACTGGCTTTGGGAAGCCACTGACTAGATTATCTAAATTGAAATGAGATGCAGCCTCAGGAACAGGTAGGTAATTAAAATCCTACTTTACTCCCATGAATGAGGTTAGCAGCCACAGTGAGTAACTGCAATCTGGCCTGGGCCTTATTCACTGTGGGAAAGCCATGGTGTTCTAAATCCCCATCCTAGTCTTCTGGTAGTAAGGGTTAAACAGAAAGAAAGAAGCTATAGAACATTGGCTCTGTGCATTGGCACTAGCTAAAAAATTGTGAGAAATGCAAATTCTCAGTCTTAGCTGAGACCTACTGAATCTGAAACTCTAGGTGTGGGGCCCTGTTAATCATCCCTGCAGGTGGGTCTGATGCCCACTCTAGCTCGAGAACCACTGCCATAAAGCACAGAGAACATCCCCTTGGTTTGCTGTCCTCCTTTGTTGCTGTCTGAAGGCCTGAATCTAATCCCTGGGTCCTCCTTCTGTCTTAAGACTCTGAAGCATTTTGAGAGCATCTCTAGCTGGATTTACACCTATGCTCTCAAGGAAGTCACGCATGCTTTCCTTAGCTGAGCAGATTATGCTCAGAACACAACATTGCTCTGGTAGGTAGCTCCAGCATACACCTACTTAAAAGAGCAATAATGAGAGTGTCTAACTGCAGGAAGCTAAATCCTGGGATACCATCGGCATCTGGGTGTAGGCAAATATCCATATCCATAGTTGTGTATCCACTGAATCAAGGAAGGACGTCGGCACACTATGAGAGGATCCTCAGATGATTGATTCTAAATTCTAGTTCTAGAATTGATTCTAAATTCTAAGTTCTAGACCAGGCTTAATAGTTAAATATGTTCATACAAAATATATGTGCACCTGGGATTACAAAAAGATTTAAAAAAAGCTTAAAAAAAAGAAAAGAAAATTCTCATTCATAAAATTCATGGTCATAAAAACTACCTAGGCAGGCTTGGCATGGTGGCTCATGCCTGTAATCCCAGCACTTTGAGAGGCCTGTTTGGGAGGATTGCTAGAGCTTGGGAGTTTGAGACCAACCTGGGCAACATAGTGAGACCCTCTCTCTACAAAAAATTAGCCAGGCATGGTGGTGAGCACCGCAGATTGAGGTGGGAGGATGGCTTGATCCCAAGAGTTCGAGGCTGCAGTGGGCAGTGATTGCACCACTGCACTCTCGCCTGGGCAGCGGAGTAAGACCCTATCTCAAAAAGAAAGGAAAAAGTCAACCATCCAGGCAAAAAGATTCATCTTTTGGCATATTGCTTTATTCCATTTAGCCAAAAATCTTTATTTTGAATATCAAGCACATGATTTGGAATGAAAAAATGATAAAAGCAGTGATGATGTGCTATGATGAGTCTGATACCACAGGGATGTGGCCTTCTTTCTCCTTGTCTTATCAGAAAAACATTGCAACAACCAAGACAGTCCTAGTCCAACTTCTTCTACTTACCCCATCCCTGCCAAAACTGACATTTACCATTGAGGAAACTGAAGCCAGGAGATTAAATCCTTGCCCAAGATGCCACAGCTACACATGGTCAAGGATAAATTGGAGTCCAGGCATGGCAACTTCAAGTCAGTGCTACCACCACTGGTATTCTCACATTAACACTGTAAATTATCTTTTACTTTTCAAAGCATCACCTTGTCTGAACACTGTTATCAATGGCAGATCCAAACAATGCTTGATTCTATAGGAAAAGGTCTAAGCACAGAGAACAGATTAGTTCTGGGACCCTGGGGTTGGGACTGAGCTAGACCTGGTCCAAGTTGGCTTCAAATAGAAATGTGCTAACTCTTCTCCAGAAGTCAGCCAGTTCCTGCAAGAGCTTTAATTATATTTGAGACTCAGAATTTTCATAACTGGTTTAACACAGTCCAAGTGAAGACTCTGACATGGAGAGCACCGGACTGACCCTCAGAGTCCAGAGATGCTACCAATATTTGAGCCTACTGTCCATGAAGTAGGATCTCATGGGCTTTGATGTCATCACTGTGCAGTACTATTAAAAACTTCATAGAACTGTGATTACAACGATATATTCACATCCTTTAAAGTCACTTTTTAAATAATAGAATAATGCTTCTGCGACATTTGGCACACTGTCAAACAAACACCTAAAACTGACCTCTCAGCCATGTCTCTTCAGAGAAATAAGACAAATTAATATGTATTTGGTTAACAGTACTGGTACTTCTTTTAGGGAACTTGTGGTACATTATTTAATTCTCATTTCTCCCTAGTTCTAGACCAGGTTTAATAGTTAAATATGTTCATACAAAATATATGTCAAGGAAATAAAGAATGATAGCTCATCTGGAGGAACAAGACTTTTTTTCTGTCTCTTTTTGTAGCAATAAAAATTTACCATATTCATTAACATTTTCATTTTGCACAATGTAAGTTCACTAATTTTATATATACACAAACATAGGTAGACAGATATCAATATTGATATCTTCCAGACAACCCATTTCCAGGAAGTAGGTATACTTATGAATATAAAGATACTTATATGTGTTATATGCTATTTTAAACCTAAATTTATGTAAATTAAATTGTCACTATTTAAAATACTTCAATTTGTGCACAATTATTGAAATATATTTGTAGATGAACTTAATGTTTTTGCCTATAGTCGGATACATATATACATTTACATATGCAAATTTCTATAGTTCGTAGGTGTTTTCAGTAACCAGTTCTCTATCTCTAGAACACCGTCCCCTCCTTTTTTTTTTTTTTTTTTTTTTGAGATGGAGTCCTACTAGCTCTGTTGCCGGGCTGGAGTGCAGTGGCGCAACCTTGGCTCACCGCAACCTCCACCTCCCTGGTTCAAGCGATTCTCCTGCTTCAGCCTCCCGAGTAGCTAGGATTACAGGCGCGTGCCACCACGCCCAGTTAATTTTTGTATTTTTAGTAGAGACGGGGTTTCACCATGTTGGCCAGGATGGTCTGGATGTCTTGACCTCATGATCTGCCCACCTCGGCCTCCCAAAGTGCTGTGATTACAGGCGTGAGCCACTGTGCCTGGCCCGTCTCTTCTTTATCCACACTGTTGTCACTTTCATTATGATCATTACCACAAGTAACTTCCATTGGGCACTTGCGATGTTCCAATCCTTATTTAATCTTCACAACAAATGAATAAAACCATCTCCATTCTACAGATAAGAAAACTGAGACTCAAAGAAATTAGATGACTTGTCAAAGGCCACACAGAAAGTGTCCTCCAAAGCCCATGCTCACCTCCTCTATTCCTTTCCTCAAGCTGCTGGGAGAAGAAGATGTGAAGGGTGAAGCTAAATTCTGGATTTGCCCTCTCTGCTAAAGAAATAAATGCCAAAAGAGAGGCCCTGTATGTTCACATTTATGTCCTAGAGAGACACGGGATGACAGTACACTTAAAATTAAATATGAACCGAGAAACAAGCATCTCATAATTTTTGCACAGATGAGTGTATCCAATATGAGCCTACCCTTTATCTACAGGCTTATGATTATTTCCTGTGGATCTAAAGCTCAAATTAAATATGATTTTGAAGCAGAAACATCTGCTGAATTTTAAAGACTTTTCTGAGCCAAGGGATCTTTCAAGATTCCATACCTTTAATCCTTCCTGTTGGCCTTGAATGCCCTTTCTCTTCATTTTTCTTTCCTCCTTTCCCATTCTTCTTTACTAGCAAACTCCTATTGAACCTTTAAAACTTAGTGAAAAAGGAATCTCCTTCATAAAGCTTTCCCCGGCTCCCATTAACAGAGCTAGTGTGCTATGCTCTCTACTTCTTCAACAGTTTGTTCTTACCTCTGTTATTTACTTTTCTTCTTGCAATTTATCTGTTTACTAGTTTGTCTGTGAGCTTTTGCTAGTTTGTCTGTCTGTGAGCTTTTGCGTTTCTGATTCCCAAGCCCTGAGAAAGAGTAAACACTCAAATGTTAGTGAAATGTACAGTTTGATATCAAGAGCCTCTAGATATATTAATTAGAACCTGATGAGAACAAATCTGCTTTGAAGAAAGCGCCCAGGAAAGAGATTCCCTGGCTTCTAGTAGTCACCAAGCCTTAGGTTCCCTCCCTCCACTCTCCCTGCCCTATCGGCACTAGGTTATCACCCACCCAGTGTTTCACTGTGTGCATATATGCAGAGATGATGTGAGACACATGTCATACACTGCTTATAGAAATGGTGCCCTCCACCTCAACTCTGCCCTATTCCAACAGGGAAGAGAGAGTGCTAGGAGAGAGGGAACTGCCCACTGCCCAGCTTGTTTGGGTTATTCAGAAACATTACAGTTAAAAATGAAGTATAATGTAGTAATGGAACTGCAACACACGGTATTTTATGGACTAATTTTCCGTCATCACTTCTTTATGCCCTTTTCCTCTTAAATATAGTACTTTGAAAACAGGATTACAACACACTAAGAGCCAAAAGGTATTTTCTTTCAGCGGTTGTCAGGGACTACCTTCCAGGAGTTTAATTTAGGGCACCCCACTGAGAAACCTGCATCAGGATTTCAAATGAGATTAAAAAAAAGAAGAAGAAGAAGAAGAAGCTTTTGCTTAATTCTGCTTTAGAATACAGCCTTGCAAAACTTGCTTTCCAAAAACCATCAGCAAAGTAAATTTTTTCCTACATGCAATTTACCTTTTTTTCACATCAGATCAGTTGAGGGGAGGGGGCTGTAGACCCAGAAACACGGGGAGGATGAGGGGCCAGCAGTGAGACCTGCTAATTACTGATCTCTTTTACTCTCCTGCTGTGCTTAACTGTCCGGACATGTTAAAGTGAAATTTTTCTGTGATTTTTCAAGTGATTAGTTCATGGCCCGCTAGCATGGAGGGAAGCAGAAGAGATGAAATGCTTTCGTTTACATGCAACATTTACTAACTGTGAGGGTTTTCCGACATTAAAGAGAGGACAGTGACCCAGGCCACCTTTTTCACACTCAAAAGGGCACTGAAAAAACAAGTCTTCATCGGCTTACCTCAGGCTTCCCTGGTCCTGAACACCCTCCCCCCGGGGTATGAGCAGAAAGGGAAAAAAAGAGGGGATTTTATGCTCCTTTCTCTTCAACTTTTCAGGCGGTATAAGCAGCATTTAGCAAATTCAGCCTCAAATGGCTCCAAATGCTCGGAGCTGCAGGGGCTCATTCTTTGTTATCCTCCCTCTATTTACACAGGATTTACGCAGGCTCTCCACTGAAGAGACCGAAAGCACTTCCATTCTCACTGGCTTGGCCAGCCCAGACTGTGGCTGCTGCAGCTCCACGCTGGCCTGTGATGGGAGATTTCTACAACCTGGAGAAGGCAACAAACTGCTCACTAACTCAGTGATCCCGAGACAACCTGGCTGGTACAGGCAGCTGCAAAGCAGACAGGCCTGCAGAGATGAGCTAACCTTCCAGAAGAGAAAGGAAAACCCAGCCAAGGCTGTGCAAATGTGCGTCCAGAGACAAATAACATGCACTTTAAAATATGCATCTATATGATATAATGGAAAGTGGTGGGTGAAAAAAAAAATTCAGACTGCAGCTTGGATGAAAACCACTTCACCCACTGGTTGGAAAAATAAAGTGTAAAAACAGACAGATGGACACATATGTAAATGTGGCTGTGTTTTAGGCTTTAGCTGGCAATGTGAGTGTCGTAGTATAGTTTTGCACGCCTGTATTTTCCATATCATGTTGAATCCTGTTAACTGTTGAACAGAAACATCCTCATACTGGTCCTTGACCAAATCAGTCCCCTCAATTTACCCGTTAGGAACCATAAAATGGCTTTGTTTATTGACTGGAACAGTCTAATCCTTTATAGCAGAAGAGAATGAAAGCTTCCAACACTTTTAGCCTATTCTTCACTAAATGTGGTTATTCTCGTTTAAAAAATATATATATATATATATATTTAATTCATTGTCATTTGAAATATATATATATATTGCTTACCAATTTTAAAATATTTAAGAAAGGATCTCTGTTCTCCTAAGTCTCCCATTGAATTCTCTAAAGGATACTGACTGACCCTAGTAGAAAAGTACATTCCTCTGCCATTATAATTCAGCAGATTGCTTAATCTCTGTGGTGCAGGATAAAAGAATGTACTTGTTACTCAGTTACCTGATAAGCACATATAAAAGTACAGAGTATGTTCTGAAGTTATTCACAGTACATCATAATAAAGCTCTTCTGGGCACTCTAATGATTCATTTTTAGTGATCTCTCAAATGCCCTTTTCCACAGTTAACACTCATATTTTATTAAGGTAGAAGGCAGGGACAAATGTCCACTCAAGTCCCAGCTCTCAAATTTGACTCAACTTGCACTACACTACCTAGAGCTAAAGCTTTTTTTAATGTTCTGTTCACCTCCCTAGAGTGGCATTTCAGCTAACAGAGTTCACAATCCTTCAGCCCTAAACACAGAAGGCTGCTATCTTCAAGTCATCCTAGGAATGTGCCAGATACCATCATTTCCCTCCTGTGATACAAAGAACCAGAAAGGGAGAGAGACCAAGAGAAGACCAACCTGATCAAGTTACCAAGAGCCCAGAATGCCCCTCTCAGGAGGTTAATCTTTGAACTGGTAAATGTTATAATTAGGAGCCTTGAAGTTGGGCTGAGGCTGGCCATTGAAATAAAGACCCTAAAAGAGAAAGTATGAATGGATCCCATCTCTTTCACCTAATAGTTTGACACAACGGTCATGGTTTTTATGGAAAATTATACAAAAATGAGTTGTTATGATATATGAGTCTCATTCTCACATCTCCTACAGAAGAAAAAAGGTGGTCGGAGGGATGTGTCTTCCCAATTTCACTTAGCTATGTTTCAGTACAAATTGTGAAAATTATGCAAATAACAATTTTGGCACCTTTGCTAGAGGAAAACATTATTAAATTATGCTCTAAGTATTTTGTCTGCTTTAGTAATTACTCTCATGTAACTGTAAATATAAATAGCTGTTATTCTGTTTAAATTTTTAATCATGCAAAATATTGTCACACAAAATGTCCTTCTGTTGCAGTCTAACTGGGATTTTCTTTTTTAAAATATCCATATTTAACTGAAGTGGACTATTTTTAGCGTTGTGAAGTGTTTTAGTAAAGATAGCTGGCTAACATCTCTGAATCAACAGGTCTTTCAAGGAAAGATATGGCCTTTATATTTGCAAAAAGAATTTCCTACAAAAGGCCGTTTATATAAAACACATTTTTAACATTTTAAACTAAAACTAGAATATAATTAGTCTGCTTCCAAAAATGTATTAACTACATCAAACCTATACTATATGTTTTAGTATAGATCAATAATAACTATAGGATTTTCTAACTTATTGTCTCTTTTATCATACTTTAATATTAAATGAAACATTAAATGTCAGCTAAGTATTTATCAATAATAAAATTTGTTGGAAGAAATAACAAAAAAGCAAAGTTCTATCTGTAACAGAAATTATTTCATTCCATTTTTAAGAGTCCTTACTTCATTATCAAATTTGCTATCTAAAACAAAAATAAGACAATACATTTTTATAACATAAAATGGTTGATCAGTTTTAATTCCTAAGATGATATTGCTCTGTGAATTTATATCAGCAGATATAATTTCAAAGAGCAGAACAACAAAAACGAAGGTTTTTTGAATATTTCTTCCACTTTGCCAACTATTGTAAAATGAAAACAAAAGAATATTTTAATAAAAGTGTAACTTCGAAACTTTGAAAGTTAGTGTGAAAAAAACCCACAATAACTCTTTATCTTAAAAGATAGCCGTCTCTATAATAATAATGTTAACTAAGATAACTAGTTAGAGATATGTATCAACATGCCCTTTATGAAGTTTTTAGGAAGCTAGTGATAGTTACCTATAGAAAAAATGAACAATAGTATTATGGAGTTGATGACTGGTTTTAGGTGAATACTTTTTAAACCATTAACACACCAAATTTGGAACATATTTGTTAGCTATTAGAAAACTATATTTTGAACATTTTTTCAAAGAACATTTTCATACAATAGAGTTTCCTAATCAAACTTTGAATTTTTGTTTAAGAAGTTTATAAATTAAATTGCTAGCACTTTAAAAGTAAAGTGATGCATTCAGATATTCCATTATGATGATTGCTTTAAATAAATGTAGTGCCATTATTTGAGACCAAGCAGATATGTTTTTGTAATAGAATGCAAATGAATATCTACAACATACACATAATAGCCCTAGAGAAACAAATACTGTGTGGCTGCTTAATAAGAATAATCTAGGATAGCACAAGTTGATCATTCTTCGTATAGCCTATACAGGAAAGAACAGCAGACACTGAGGCCCTATAAAGTACATGGAAAATGGAAAATGACTGCTAATGGGTGTGAGGTTTCTTTTGGGGTGATGAAAATGTCCTAAAATCGGCTGTGTTGATGATTGAACAACTTTGTGAATATATTAAAACCACTGAATTATAAGCTTTTAAGGGATGAATTGCATAATATGTGAATTATATCTCAATAAAGTTGTGGTTTTGTTTTTTTTGTTTTTGTTTTTGTTTTTGTTTTTTTTGGAGACAGAGTCTCACTCTGTCTCCCAGGCCGGAGTGTAGTGGCTCAATCTCGGCTCATTGCAACCTCCGCCTCTTGGGTTCAAGCAATTCTTGTGCCTCAGCCTCCCGAGTAGCTGGGACTACTGGTGTGCGCCACCATGCCTGGCTAATTTTTTGTATTTTTAGTACAGATGGGGCTTCATCACGATGGTCATGCTGGTCTCGAACTCCTGAGCTCAGGCAATTCATGCACCTCGGCTCCCAGTGTGCTGGGATTACAGGCGTGAGCCACCGCAGCTGGCCTTTTTTTTTTTTTTAAGACCAGATTTTGGCCTCCCACTACAAATAAGCATGCTGGAAGAAATGTAAAAGCCTAGTAGTTGAACTTGAAGGTATCCATAATTTTTTCTGAATTGCTTCAAACAATGTGATTTCAAGGCCACTTACTAATCTTGTCTTAGCACCTTGTGTATGGACAAATATATGTACTTGAAAAATTTGCAATAGATATTATGCTGCTTATATTACAAAGATATGCATTATAGAATATATTACAAAGATATGCATTATAGAACATATATTGACTTTCATACTAAAATTAATCCTTCTCCACTCTCAATTCTATTGCATCACAGCAAAACCCTAGCCCAAATATTTGCTCTTCCAAGGCTTACATTAACACTCAGAACTCCAGAATACTTCCACAAACAGATACACACACACACATCCCACATCCCATGCCTACATTTCTACCCAATTATTGAAAGCTCCTTCAAGTCAAAAACCATATCTCTTTTTCTCATATTCTTAGAACTTCATATATGTTATGGGTATAGTTTGTGCCTAGGCTTTTATTAAATGAATGGATGGAGGGCTCTCTTATTTCTTGAAATATGCTTTTATGCCTTGTGGGTTTATATCTAAAACTTGGAAACAGAAACTATCTAGAATGTTTGTCTCTAAGAGGTGTAAATTGGCCATAGAGTTGACGTGTCATAAATTTCAAAGGCATTAACTTGTAAGATACACTCCATGGAAGAAGCAACTTTATTGAAACAGACAATAGAGAACAGGGGCCCTAAATTAGGAAGAGTATCCGACATACTTTTCTAAATATCTGACATTTTTCTATTTCTCTGGGCAGTTGTACTACTTTGTTTGTACACTGGAGACTGGCTTCTGATGCAGTCCTTGTCCCTCCACCCTGCCCCTCCACTCCCTCCTCACATAAACACAGAAGCACGTACTCATGGGGGGAAATGGTGATGTGATGGAAGAAGCATGAGTTTTGGAATAAAACAGATCTTGTGTTGAATTTTCAGATCTATTTCTTATTTATATTTGTTAAGACTAGTCAAAGTGAAAGAGTGTGAGTGAAGAAGAAATGAAGAAACCTGTGACTGGTTTTAATCAATTAGTTGTAAACACCACTGCACTTGGACCAGCCCCAGATCTATTCCTTATTGGTTGAGTATGACCTCAGTCAAAAGATTAACCCTCTGAACCTCAGTTTCCTCATCTGTGAAACGGGAAAAATTACATATACCTGACAGGTTAACCATAAAAATTAAATGAAATCATGAGAGAAAGAGCTATTACTTATATTGTGTCCCCACTTTGTACCCAATGCTTTATACTTATTAACAAACTTAAGGACTTCATACACAACATCTAGCCTCATGTAGTACCTGAAATAGCAAAGGTGCATCAATAAATGTTAGTTATTTCTTTTCTTAAAACAAACCAGTTTGAGTGGATAAACAAACTGTGGTATATCCACACACTGAAATACTACTCAGCAACAGAAAGGAATAAACTACTGATACCCCCAGCATGGTACATTTTGAAATCATGCTAAATGGAGAAAGCCACACGCAAAAGGCCACATACTGTATGATTTCAAATATATTAAATTCTAGAAAATGCAAACTTATACATAATGACCAAAAGCAGATCAGTGGTTACTTGAGGACATATATAGAGGGAGGGAGTGATTAAAAGGAGTGTAAGGAAATTTTGGCGTAATGATGGAATCGTGTAGTATCTTGATTATGGTGCTGGTCTCGTGAGTGTATACAACTGCCAAAACTTATTAAATTGTACACTTTAAATGGGTGCAATTTTTGTATGTAAATTATACCTCAGTAAAGTTCATAAAAATAATAAGCAAAGTACAGTTAAATCATCAAAAACCTGTTATTTGGCATAAAACACATTTTGGTGGAAAGTACAGCATTCAATACAGAGATGCTGTAGTGGGAATTCTCCCAGTAACTGCAGCAAAGTTCTGGATGATTTGGGGCAGCATTTGAAAGAAGCTGTGAGGAGAAGCTCAACATAATATTTATGAATGTGTTGATTTATATAATTTTCTTTAACTTCATAAAGATGTAAGGTGGGTGGTCAGAATGCACTTGGCAGATTTTACAAAAAATATCTCCATTGTTCAAATGTCATTATAAGATATATTGTTAACGAAGAACTATCCAAGTTGCAAAAAAAAAATACCGATAATAACTTTGAAAGATAATAAAAGTAATTCTTAATAAATTGCTTTTTAAAACTTTCAGGAAATTCAGTCTTAACCCATTCCTTCTAAGTAAAATATCTCACACCACACTGGAGATCTTAGACAATTTCAGAGGAAAACCACATCATTCATGAAAGACTGAGCACTCTCAAGATTAAGAATTAATGGAAAATACAGAAATAATATTAGCCCTTGCCAGCCTGCTCCATGCCTTCAGATAAATCCCTGAATCCACCATATAAGGATGAAATGGAAGTAACATTTGTGGACTGTCTACTACATGCCAGTTTCAGCAGGCTGTATCTCAACCACAGGACAGTTCAGAGTTTGGTAGTGTAATTCCTATTTAATATAAGCAGAAACTGAAGCCAGACAGGTTAAGAAACTCGCCTAAAGTCACGTGGCTAGTTGGTAATGCAGCTGGGTCTTGAACTCTAAATCCTGAACTCAAGTCCATGCTCTCTACTCACCACACAGACTCTATTCTTACACAGAAATGGAATTCATATTTTTAAAGGGTGGGTGAAAGGTGGGGCAAACAATGCCTTATGGCTTTGAACCTGGATAAGCAGTCACTTACTATCGGCCAATTATGGCCAAGTGATCCATCTGACTTTTGAGATGTGTGATATTTGGCACATATTAGATAATCGATAAAGGTTAGTTCCATTCCATTCTCTTTTTCCTTCCTTCTTTCACTTATTCGAAAGACCCATTCACATAAGAAAAATGAAAATAGAGTCACCGCTGGTTGAAAAACACATTTGCTTTATAAAAATATCTTCTTCCTTATTCTTCCGAAACTCATATCTCAAAACGGCACAAAAGCAAAGGGTCACGTGTGCTACTACTTAAGTGGGAAACATTTTCATACCTGATTGTCATCCATCTTTTTCTCCTAGAAAGGTGAGGAGCTGAAAGCCATGTAATTATTAGTTTGCCAAGACATATCCCCATTCTGCCATGAAGAAAGACAACTCGAAGGGCACCAACACGGCTTTATTCAGATCCTGTTAGCTAATAAAACAGGAACTGTAAAGGTTTTTGTTTGAGAGGAAAAGTTGTTCAACCTTTTCCCAGGAAAGAAAGGAAGGGGTTTGCTTTCTCAGTAGGTTTATTCATATACCTGTGGTAAACCAGCCTATGAGAGAAGTAACATCTTTGCTGTAAGATCAGACCTAAGAGCTACCAATCAAATAGCAGTCCAACCTTAATATGCTGATACAGCAAATTTCCGGATCTTGATCACACTAGGCTAGGGAGTCATTCTTCTCAGTGATAAAGTTGGCGAATGCACTCTTGAGAAGATAACAAATTAAAAACCGGCTGACTCGACACCATTTGAGTGAGGAATTCACCGCTGACCCAGTAGAACACAATTTCTACCACCAGTCAGTAATCACTGGAGAGGGGCCAACTTCACTTCATAGCTGTAAAACTATTCCTAACAGAGGGTCTTGGCACACTTAAAACATAACTGTCCGATTTACCTTATGCACATCTACTGAAGTTGGTAATGACTTCCTCAACTATTTATATTCTGAGTCATACTGTGTGTGAAGGTTCAAAGATTCTCAAGCAAATTTCCCAAAACTGCTGTATTATTTGGGAGAAAAAATTCTCCCAAAAGTGCTGTATTATTTAAATGATAAAAAATGTGAAAACAACTATATAACCAAGAGAATGTTTTCATTTTGAAAATATATTTTAAAATCTATAGAATTTCCACTAAAATATCTAGTTTTTCTATATATATGATGGGAAATGAAGTTGATATCCTCTATACATCAACCACAAGACATGATAGGGAGATAACTATTGGATTAGTTATTGTGAGACTTATGTTCTAAACTTTGAAACATGTGATCTTGGATAAAAATGCCTCATATCTATATAATAATTTTTCAGCTGTCAAATAATTCTTTTCAATTATTGATTACCACAACCAAGTGTAGGGGCATAGACTGTTATCCGCATTTAACAGATAAAGCGAGTGAGGTCAAAGTTTTCCTAACTTCTTGCCTTGCCTGTAGCACTTTCCATTACTTATGGCGTATGATAATATTAGGCTGAACCAGCTGAAATCACTAATATTTGACTTTTTGATCTACCAAAATGGCAATTCCATAAAGCATTATTTCCAGCTTTACTAGCAATTGTAATAAGGCTTTTCTTTTGCTTTTTCTATTTTTCAATTTGCTTGTTTTTTATGTCTAGCCTCACTCTCACAATCTCCCTCAATTACATTCTCTTTCTGTATTGACCAGATGAAAAAGATAAAGTAGAAATAAATTCTAAAAATGGAAGCCCTGACCTATGAGAGGCCAGTGATTTTACACACAGAAAACTTGCCAATGAAAAATCAGGAGGTGGGGAGACTTTGCATGTTTTTAATTGTGTTTTGTTTTGTTTTGTTTTGTTTTTTGAGACAGGATCTCTGTTGCCCAGGCTGGACTGCCGTGGAATGATCACGGCTTACCACAGCCTCAACTTCCCAGGCTTAAGCGATCCACCCACCTCAGCCCCCTGAATAGCTGGGACTACAGGCATGTGCCACCACACCCAGCTGATTTTTAAAATGTTTCTGTAGCGATGGCGTCTCCCTATATTGCCCAGGCTTGTCTCCAACTTGTGAGCTCAAGCGATTCTCCTGTCTCAACCTCCCAAAGTGCTAAGATTATAGGCTGAGCCACCGTGCCCAGCATAACTTTGTGTGTTTTTAAAGAGGGATGTAGAAAGAAGCCTGTTTGTGATATTTAGAAAAAGGAAGTATTCCTGTCAATTCTAATTTCAAATTTCAACAGCAGTAATTAGCATTGAGAAATGATTAGCGTACATTCTATTATATGCCGCTAGAGAAATTTTCACTCTAAGTGTTTTCTAGAATAACGACAGCATTAATACAAAATAATATTTATTGAGCACTTACTCTCTTCCAGACACTCTGCTAAACACTTTATATGAATTCCTTTGTTTAATTCTCATCATCCTATGAGAGTTGACATTTTCCACATGAAGAAACTAAGGCTTAGAGAGGTGGAGCAATTTGCCCAAGGTCTTATAGGTAACAGTGCAGAAACAGGGATGACACCAATTGACTGCATCCTATGATGGCTATCTCTGAGAGCTCAGAGTCCATCTGTCCAGAATTTCCCATTCTCCTATAAAACCTCATAACATTTCTATACCCTATTGAGTAATTCATGCCAAGATTTTGTGGTTGATCAACTTAAGACAATAGGAAATATACATTCGACTATGAACGTAAGCATCCTGGGGACAGGCACTGGGGTTTTCCTATCCCTCCTTACTCCTAGCACATAGAACAGTGCCTGGCACATCATAGGCACTGATGAAATACTTGTTAGAAATAAAATAAATATAATTCTTCCCTGTGTGTGTGTGTTTTTCCCCCCACTTCCTAGAGCCTCACTTTCAACTGTTTTCCTCATGAGAATGTGGAGAGCTCTCAACATTAAACAACATTACTCGACTTCGGAAACCTTCCACCACTGCCACAGCCACCACCACCTTCAACCTTGCTGTAAGCAGTAAAATTGATTCATCTCACTGACAAAAATGTGATAAAAGAACGCCAACCACAGAGGTGGAGAAACCACTCCTTCTCCTTGAACAAATGCTGCTTTCTGATGCCCCTGATTGCTTTTCTTTTCTCGCTAAGGTTCACTAAGTACGGAAAGCTCGGCCCTGGTGAATATGGGTCAGGTTTGTAATGCAACAACTCCACCCCTTTCATTACCATGGAATCAGTTAACAATCCTGCTAGTTCTACCACAAAAAATAAAGTAATTGGTCCCAGTGGTTATTTAGGTGCTGCGGAAGTCTTAAAAACACTATTATCTCCCGTAGTGATTTGCTAGCCTTTCCATACTCCAAGCAGCACATTGGGACTTCTAAATTACATACCATAATTGACATAAAATATCTGTCCCATCAGTGAATATCTTTATTAGCATCAAAATCACTCACAACTAGTGTTCCTCAATGTTATTAAACATAACTTGTTCTAGGTGTTGCTTTACTAATTAGTCAGGATGAGCCCGAGGAAGAAAATCTGGGTCATGTTAAATTAATTGGAATGAGCATGAAAATTAGCAGAGCAAACTGCATCAATTTTCTATAGAGAGTCTTTCTTCATGTTGAGAATAAAAATGGATATTATGAGGCATTAACCAAACTGCCTTCTGTGACTGCCAAGAGGTGTGTTACAGTAGCCCAAAATATCATGCTCGCAGATTTTCAGAAGTTAATGAGACATTTCCAGGAATGGTAAATACATGGTGTTAAAATGGGTGTGCCTCTGATGGGAAAATGCCAAGTCATTTCATGTTTATTCAGGCATAACAAGCTCTTCAAAATGAGCATAATTTAAGAGGTGAATAGTGCAAAGAGGGCTAACATTCAACTAATTTTCCTTCAGAAAGAAAAGATTAAATTGAACAAAAAAAATGAATTAAGAGGTTTACAAATCAACAAGTCAGCCACCAGGACGGCAGCTTCGCCTGAGCACCGGCTCGGCAGCCCCCGCCAGAAAGTTTTCGAAACATGTCCCGGAGGCAGGGAACAAAGCGAGCAGAACTGATTACAGCCCCGCTCACTGCCTTGTGTCTCAACTCTGTTTGGCTTCCTAATGAGCTCACTAAAAACCTAATTCATCTCCCATAACCCTCCTCAGCCCTCCTTGAAATCCACCATTATGGAAATTATAGATGAAACATTTCCAGGCTGGGTTCAAACCAGTGTGTCTTCAACAGGCGGGGGCCCTGACCCCCACCCTGGGCACAATGGAGCAGGGTCCAGCTCCGAACCGCTCCCGCGGCAGCTTCCAGAATAAAGAGGCCGAGCTAGGTTAAGACTCTTTCTCAGGGTGACAATGATTTCCGCCTTAACGCCCTCCCTCCCATGAATGTGGGAATTTCGTGGGTTCCACAGTACATAAAATACAAATTGTAATGCAGAAGAGGAGAAATGAGTTGTACTAATGACAAATAGCTGAAACAGGCTAATGTGAATTCCCAGCCTGTTCATGAGGAAACTCCCCGGGTTCCTCATTACATGGAGTCAAATCCTCACGGCACCTAGCCTGTAACTGGAAGATTACCGAATTGATGGATCCTTAGTTTAAAATGCAGCTGTTTTATTCTGCTTTAGTAATTAATTCTTTTTCCAATACTCTATTGATTAAGCGTAGACCCTGATAAAGTTCAAACTGAGAAGAATCTCTCGTGGCGTCCTTAGTTGCTCGGGAGAGTCAATGAAAACTTCCTACAATTCCACCTGCCTCCTCAGAGTGCTGATCCAATGAACAGAACAGTTTTTTTCTCATAAATTAGTCAGGCCATGTGGAGCTGTATTAGCTGATCGTTGCTTTTGTCTCTCTACTTGCTGACTTGCTTTTCAGTTTTGCTGGCCTTTGTGCTGTCACACACAAAGTCGGAGTGCAGCTGCCATTCTGAACCCAAACCAAGGTAAAGAACAATTCATACAAACTACATTTTTCCCCCATTTTCTAAAGCGGCAACTCCCTGAGCAGTAAAGGGCTCAACGGGGCCTCCTGGGACCCAACTAGCTGAGAAATCAGTGCCAAAGCATGCAGACATATTGTGGAACTGAAAAAATAAATAAATAAATAAATAAAGTAACCTATTTTTTTCAAGGCTTTACTAGGCTTTTTTGTCTTTTTTCCCCCCGGTAGAGTTTGTGCTACCCTATTTTCAGCAATGTTAAGCTCTCTACTTTGTTTTCACAGAGAACATCACAGAATGACAGACGACAGGGTAAAGAGAGTAATCAAGAAGCCGAGGCTTGTATCCTGTGCTGGTCAGGTGGCATCAGAGAGTTAGAGAACGCCTATTAACCACACGGGCGTGGAGTGTAACCATATATAAATGGCCATTATAAACACAATGGTATTTAGTAATAAGAGGAATCACCAACATGGTGCTTCTTTTCAAAGGGTCACATGTACCGGGGATCAATGTTGGTGAGTAAAACAAGCACGATAACAGAAAGTTTCTCAGGTTACAGCCCTGTACAATGGATTTTTGTTCCTACGAAGATCATCGCTACTGGGAATGCTTCTACAGCAATGGACTCATTCTTTTCTCCCTACTCCCCCCACACCCACCTAAGGCCCCCAAAGGATCGTGCATGGGCTTAATTCCCTGCCTGAAAACAGGTCAAGATGTGGGTTCCAGCCCACGAGCTGGTAGGGAGAACAACTGATTTCTCAAGTCACCTGCAACACACATTTATAGGATAACTCATATTATTTTTCACTCTATTACACAGGGTGGGAGTAATAGTAAAGGTCTGGAAGAATTTTAGGAAACGCTCTCAAGTTTTTATCGTCTGATACTACAGTCAAAGCGAAAACCAAGCTAGATCCTGTGAGCAGAGAAGCTGGGGCTGTTTTCAACGTTCTCTCCTGGGCCAGGGCTGAGAGTACATTCCCACCTTCACAGCATTCCTTCCTAGGTCAAAAGGTCATCTCTCACAGACGTCTCCGGCAGACACTCAGTTGTCAAAAGGTTGTATCATGTGATCTGTGCAGTCACCACTAACAGAGCTCTTTCCTCAGTGGGCAACAAACTTTGCAGGTCTAAATGATTTCTGCATTAAAAATGTGTTTTCCTCTTTCTATTACCACTTGTCTCTTTAATTTCAAAACAATGAGGACAGCAGTGGCACCAAATTCATCAGCAAAGGCTCCACAGATCACCTGGGTCAAGATTCCACCACTTTTACTGGGCATATTATGAGGAAAAATAACTGCCAGAGGACATGTTGATTTCCTGCATTTCCAAAGAAAACAGAGGTGACCCTTTTCCAGGGGATTTCTTTCAAAAGGAAAACCCCATTTTTAAAGCAAACATACATATTTTGAATAAATACAAAATTACAAATAGAAAAAAATGATCTAAAAGAAAAGACTGTTCTGTAAGAATCATTAAAAAATTAAGATAACTTTTTGATTAATGCATATATTCACTTGTATTTAAATGACCAACAATCTACATAGTTTATGACAAGGTACAAAAACAAAAACGAGGAGATAAGTTTATTTGCCCAGTGCCCAGAACTGATGCAAAGTTTGCCCTCAGTGATCTGTAACACACAAAAGGTCCCAGTTACTAGGGGAGCAGACTGCTTTTTTATTTTTTTAATTTCCTGCTGCCCAGATGAATAATATAACAATTTTCTCATTGTCGTGGATTGTTACTTAGAGCAGCTTGAAGCTCTCACATGCAATCCAGAATGAGTCATTTATTTCTAGAAGGGAGTCAAACGAGTCTATCAACATTGCTTCTATTTATAAATTATATATTTAAGAGTAAAGTAAAATAGTCATGGCTGACATGTTACATATGGGAGATAAAGAATTACAGGCTCTTTCAAATTATTTGGCCTAGTACTAAGCAATAGAAGCTAAGGACACTGATAATTTCTGTACAGCTAAGCATTACGTGCACTTGTTTATTCAAAAAAGCTTAATTAAATAGCCTCAGAAATGGGATCCAAGTTATTACATGTCTTTAGGATACTGAGGCTTGCAGATAAATAAAATTTTCCTAAGTGTACTGCCTTCTTTTTTTTTTTTAATTAAAAAATGTACTTTTAGGCAAGGTGTGATGGCTTATGCTTGTGATCCCAGCACTTCGGAAGGCTGAGGTGGGTGAATCAGTTGAGGCCAGGAGTTAGAGACCAGCCTGGTCGACACAATGAAACTCCATCTCTACTAAAAATACAAACATAAATTAGCTGGGTGTGGTGGCACACACCTGTGGTCCCAGCTACTCAGGAGGCTGAGGCAAGAGAATCGCTTGCGCCTGGGAGGTGGAGGTTGCAGTTTGCTGAGATCATGCCACTGCACTCCAGCGAGAGTCTGTCTCAAAAAAAAAAATTCTTTTTTTAGAAACAGGGTCTCACGCTGTCACGCAGGCTGGAGGGCAGTGGCATGATCATAGCTCACTGCAGCCTCCATGAGCTATGATACGGTCCTCAAGTGATCTTCCTGTCTCAGCCTCTCAAGTAACTAGGGCTACAGGTGCATGCCACCATGCCTGACTAATTTTTTAAATATTTTGTAGAGCTGGGGGTCTTGCCATGTTGCCCAGACTAGTCTTGAACTCCTGGCCTCAAGTGATTCTCCCATCTCAGCCTCCCAAAGCACTGGGATTACAGGCATGAGCAAACTCTCTAAGAGTTACATTTTTCAAAATTCATTTTGGGCTTCAACATACCACCTTTTAGCTACCTTGGATTAACAGGAACTGACAAAAATACATATTCTTAAGAAAGTATATAGTTTTGTTTGGTGTAATCTACAAACTTTAAGGTCTCTGGTTCTACACACTTTTCTTAGGGTAGGTATTTCAGTGTTCTACAAACCGTATCATGGAGTGTTCAATTAAGCACATATTCTACATTGACACTTTAGTTCCAGGAAGTTATCGTGTACCACCATATTTGCCAGTTTAGTATCTGTAACCCCTGAACGTGTGCTCTATACGTTTCATGGGGTGTTTGGAAGGTAATTGAAAATAAAAAATTATGACACAGACTCAAAAAGAAAAAAAAACTACATGAGAGAAGAAATTGGTTTCTGAACTTTTCAAATAAGACTGGGTGGGACCCAGCTAAACAAGGTGAATAAAACACATGTTTATGATCTCGTAATGATTCTAAGCTCATCACCATTTCTGTTACTGTGAATCTGATGCTTGGCATTTGGCATCAGCTACAGAGTGCAGGGATTCGGTACAATTCTAACAATTGTAGAGAATGGCCCTAAAAATAAGAACTTGTGGGCTGGAATCATGTTTTATCTGCCAAGGGAATCTGGGAAGGAAAACAGGTGTTTAATAATGAAGTGGTATGAATTTAATTATCATCTACTTTGAGGGTATCACACACTTGGCAGCCTTATCAATCAAGGAAGGAAATTAATGAAAAAGTTAAGAACTCTCTACAGAGAATACATGATGCAGTTAGTAATTTTAAATAGGCATGGTTAGGTCCTGTACAGATTTGTATCTGATCCTCTTAGGGGGTGCGGCTACCCAAGGCTGCATTTTTCATCCTGTGGTATTACCTTACCTGAATATAGGACTCCAGCTCTAGATATCCCATCTATAAAGTCAAAATAAACCTTCTCACTGGGTGCACACAAATATTCTTCTAACTGTAGCAATGAAGAAGGGGTCAAACAGACGGAAGATGGGGATTAAAGGGATTGGGATGCCTTCTTGAAAGGCATCATGTTAAAGTGCTGCAATATACCAGGTGCCCTAAGAGAAGGTCATCGAGGCCGGCAGAAGTGTTTAAGGGCAGAGATAGCTAATTAAATTTCACCCAGGAAACAGACTAGTTTCTATAATCCATAAAATACTATACAAAACAATGACTGCACTCGTATTTATAAAATATCTTTAACATATAGGTCTTTAGGGTAAAATCACCAAACTACTAAGATGAGGGTTTGTAGTTGCAGAGGTAGCCGCACTAAAAATTTACACATTAAGAATATCTTCAGAAGCAGCTGGTTGCCATGTCTACCTTGTTAAGTCATTCATTAGGGACTTGAGCTAGCATAAAATCTTTCAATACTTGCCTTTAACACTTTAAAAAATCCTAAATGACAAAATTATTTCTTTGAAATAAATTATAAAAGGAGGCAGGAATTCTGGACTTTTGGGGAGATGGTTGTAGAAACTAAGATTTACAGTCACCAAACGAGTTTTTCTGAAACTTTTCAGAAGTATAGCATTTCCTCTTAACTTTCAAAATCTGGATATCTTCCTATAAATAAAATGGCAGCCATAAAACATCTTAAAATAACTTTTCAAAAAATCTTAAAACTGTTTGAAAAAAGCAAGCAGGATATTTTAAAAATTAATATAATTTAAAAATTTCAAAATAAAATGTTTTATTTCTTCAAGTAAATGTCTTAGGGGAAATTATAGCTAGACCAGAACTTGGAGCTCCTGACACACTAGTGTCAGTCATCAGCTCAGAAGCCTACTAAAGGTTTTCACGCTGCCTGAGGAGCAACAAGTTATAATAAAAGACTCAAGAACTTTCCACAGATTCAGGTGCCCAGGTAAGGCAGTGTGACCCATGACTCACAGCTCTCTGATCTCCAGGCCAATACTCTTTGCATGTGGCACTAACTTGACAAGCTAGTCCTCCCTCTTACTGATGCCCTTGGCATAATTTCAATGCCCAGCCTAGGAACAGCAGGGGCCTAAGTATCATTACAGTGTGACAGATTCTGACTTGTTTTCTTAGAGAAAAAGAAGGATTGCTAAAGTAGGCCAAGAAAATCATTTGTGAATGTCCCTCCTTCTATGTCAAAACTTGTAATAAGCAGTAGAAATCAATAAAGTTTTAGTTGCAAAAACATAAGGCCACAGAAGGGATGGTATACTCCAAGGATGTAGTCAAAGAGACAGAAGGAGAGATCTTTCACAAAGAAGACGGAAACGTACAACTTTACTGTCTTCTTGCTTTGTCAGTGATCTTGTCCTACGATCATGGAGATTGAACAGGCCAATATTTAAATCAAAACAAATATCCATGCTCATCCTCTACAACTTCCCAGGAGAAATTCCAATCAGATCCTTCACAAATTCTAATTTTATCCTAGTGAGGGCAACTGTATGGCATCAAATTTACATATAAGGACCCCTGAAGAATTTAACCAAATTTACCTTCTTCTGTTGAATTCTGTTATGTGCCATATGTTTTTGGAATGTATTTTTAAAAATTGGAAACCAGTGATTTCTGTGCCTTAATCATCATCCTGTTCATCAAGATCAGTAGCTTAGAAAACTTTGTTCACTTGACACTTGAAATGATGTCAGAGAAATGTTCATCTTCAAGGATGGGGTAAGACGTCTCTTCAGTATGGCAATTCCAAACTATCAGTAATTTTCTAAAACCATATATGGCATTACAAGCCTGTCACCAAATCAATACTTACAGGGTGGATTTTTAGAAAAGAGCTGATCTCCGTTACCATTATGACCTAGAAAGCATCAAAACAACTTTACTGAAATGTCCAGGCATATGATAGAAAATACCAAAACCCACCTGAAGCTTTCAGAATGAGGGAACATCTCTAGCCCATATTTTAGGTCTGACAACAGGTATCTAAGAGCATTTTGTTTTTTCTTTTAGAGATAAGGTCTCACTATGTTGCTCAGGGTGGACGCAAACTTCTGGCCTCAGGTGATCTTCCTGCCTCAGCCTCCCAAATAGATGGGATTACTGGCGTGCACTACTGTGCAGGACTGCTAGGTATCCGACATCATTTGACAACTTTTCTTGCAGACAGGGTGTGGTACCCTGGTTAAGTGTCTGGATTTAGGGATTAGATAGACCTGATTTACAATCTTAGCCCCACCACTTTCTAGATATTCCAGGTAAAGGGAAGTTTCTTAGTCTCTCTAAGCCTCAGTTTTCCCAACTGAAAAACCCACACAAGCTTATGAGGATTAAATTATACTAAACGTACAGCACAATGTTGGGCATAGAGTAGCTGTCAAGCATTAGCTATAATAATGATGATAATCTTGCTATTGCTGCCATATTTGGGTATACATATCATAGGTACTTTTCCTTGATCTAGCACTTTTTTCTGTCTATCAATGGTAATAATCAAATAGAACTGAGTCTCAGATTACGATAAAGCTAGTATCTGGAAAGATGGTGATTGAATTCCAGATGGCACTCTTTAAAATTTTTAAACAAGAAATTAGTTCACATATCACATTAGCTTTTCTCCTTCCTAATAGCATATGACACTATAAAGAAGCCATGAAAAATGAACTAATATAAAGAGAAAATATTTCTTCACCAATGGGTGTTAAGCTGCAAGATCTGTGTTGAAATTCTTGCTTAAGTCAAACAGTTCTTAGGCTAGAACTGGTCAAGATTTGAAACAAAACGATTTTTTTGTCCCATATATGAAAAACTTGATCAGAAGGATTTTATGGTGGGTTAAGTAATGATATGCGAAGACAGCATTTAGTCTGTAAAAGCAAAAACTAAATAGAACTTAAGGTCCAGTGATAACTTACACATTATCTCAACCAAAATAAAATAACATATTTTAAAACTTAAGATATCAAAAGAGAGAAAATACCTCATTTGTGTCTCCATACAATATATCAACTAAATAGAAAACTAGGAAATTAAAGACATCTGTGTACATATCCACTTATTTTCAGGACAGAAAGCAAACCAGCAATGCAGATACTACGTTAGTATATAATGCTGATAAGAAATCTCTATTTTTTCTATTTTTCTTTTGTATATTTACATAAAAACATATTTACAACGTAAATATGTAGTAATATATATGACCCCAATTGTAAACAAAAAACCATATCACTTATAAAAGTTTAAAATAAAAAGGACATTATGAATAATATTAGCAATCCTTACAGCAAATGATACAATAAAACATATTTGCACAGGCAAAGTGAATTGATTAGTTACATTTAGGCTAATTTCTTACTGCTATGCAAAATGGAATACTATTTTTGATTTTCATTAGTCAAAATAATTGAATAATTGGTCAACTTTCAAATTAATTTTAACTGTGTAGACACCATCGACATTGTCCTAGAACTTGAGCAAAGGAAGGTTATAAGAACACTTACGCATGGGAAAATGGATTGGATTGGAGTATCAAAAGCCATTGTCTTTAAGAAATCCTGAAACTCTATAGGTTTTAAGAAAGTCAGGATTAACTTCTCTTTAAACCACAAACCCAATCCAGTGAGTAAAAATCAACAAACAACTACAACATTTCTAAAGAGGGAATAAATTATCTATTGTCTGGTATCATTTCTTAGGCAACTAATTCCCATTGAAATGTTGAGCCAAAGATAACTAGATATTTTCAAAATGTGCTTTTTAGATCTTTAGCACAGAAAACTTTGAACATAGGATACTACGTGATTTTGAAATTATGCTGAAATATCATTCTCATTCCTATGATCACTCATGATGTAATATTTTTCAGAAGTTTTCAAGATCAGGTCAACTAGAGATTAGAAGTACTTACATAGTCTCAATTCAAAGTATGCCCTTTCAAAAGTGCATAATGTAAATTCTGGAAGCCCTTAGGTAGGTGGCAGTTTAAGCACTTTATATAGTGAACTGCTGGCAATGAAATGTAAGGTCACAACATCTAGACATGTGGCTTCATGCTTTTGACACTACTATAGGCACTGAGATACATTTCTGGAGATTTGTCAGGAACAACCCTGGAAGTCAAGAACTAAAGAGAGTGTCAAGAAATTCTTTAGAGGAAAAATACTGCCAAAGAGTTGAGAAAGCCCTGATTGGCTCTTTTTTATTTTGTAGTGGGGCAAAAATAACTCTCTCAGAATACTGAGGATACCTTTAAGTAATTTCGGAGCTCTGAAGAATTTGAACAACACGTGTGACTGACAACTGTGGTTTGAATACTGCAGAAGCACCTTTCAATTAAAGAGTGTGGTTTTATTTTACTGCTTCAATATTTCAAGCCAGATAAAAACAAGATGCTAAGCCAATTTATAACAAAAAAGAAATCAACTTGGCTTAATTTTTAAAGCCCATCTAGAGAACACTTCCAGTAGGTTACAGAGGTGATTAAGCGGTGTTGGTGAGCAAATTTAAAAGAAAATTGAAATGAGCAGCTTTGAGAAAGTCCTTTTTTATTCACACAAAAATATCTTTTAAAAACCCACGATATAAAATATTCACTAACTCTTCAGTTTTTTGATCCAGTTGAATGTGTTACTAATGGAATTGGCAGACTTTCTTGGGGTAGCAGATCTTATTATTCCCAAAGTCAGTGGAGGTTTGATGCAAAGAGCAAATGCTAAAACACAAATAAGCATTTTTACTTATATATAAGTTGATGACTATGACATAGGAGTTTTGGAAAGTCCCACAAGAGAAGTAGTCTCATTATCTTAGCCTTCAGCACCTCTTGTATTCTTTGCCATTTCTAAGAACAAGGAGAAGATAACTAACCCTTTAGAATTGCCAATTTAATTTCTAATGGCTCTCTTTTCTAATCAAAGTGACCCTATGGATCTAACCAATATAAATTGGAAAAATAAAAAAAATTGGTTTTTCAAAGTGTAAATCACTGATTTAAAAAATCACTAGCAAGAGGCTTATGATGGCTCAGGCTCCAGTTTAACTTGAAGAAATAAAAATAAAGGGTTGTAATAAAGAAATAATAGAAGCGTGGCAGCCTTTTGATTAGAGAAATGACATGAGGGTTTTAATGACTTTCTCAGGACAGTCACTTGCCTTAATTAAATTTTACATCATTTGTGAACTGAATACCTTTTATGCAAAAGGTAAAGAACAAGAAAATTTTAAATGGCTTTGTCTTCATTCTTCTGCTTCCTCTTTCTATCGTGACAGTCAAGTAACTGACCCTCTCCAAGGCCAAGCCACTTCATCTGGAAAATGGGGATAAATCTGAAAAATTCTGGGGGAATCAAACAAAAATTTATGTAAAAATGCATTAGAAACCTACATTAAGAAAGGTAACACTAAATATACAGTATTCCTTTGCAGACATAACTTGAGTTTTAAATAATATCATTTGAAAAGTAATAGATACAGCATGCTAGAGTTGGAGAAAACTTAGAAATCCCCTAACATCCTAATCACACAGAAATGTGAGTCCATGAGAGCTTAAAGAGATAATGATAGTATTAAGAGCAACTAACTTTATTTTTTGTAGAGATGTGGTCTCACTCTGTTGCCCAGGCTGGAGTGCAGTGGTGTGATCATAGCTCATAGCAACCTCAAACTCCTGGTTGATCAAGGGATCCTCCTGCCTCAGTCTCCTGAAGAGCTGGGACTATAGGTGCATGCCATTGTGCCCAGCTAACTTTTTTGTTTTTTTTGTAGAGATGGGGTCTTGCTTTGTTGCCCAGCCTAGTCTCGAATACCTGGCTTTAAGTGATTCACCTGCTTTGGCCTCCCAAAGTTCTGGGATTACATGAGTCACCATGCCCAGCCAGCAACTAACTCTTTTTTTTTTTTTTTTTTTGAGATAGGGTGTCACTCTGTCACCCAGGCTGGAGTGCAGTGGCATGATCTCGGCTCACTGCAACCTCCATCTCCTGGGCTCAAGCGATCCTTCTGTCTCAGCCTCCCAAGCAGCTGTGATTACAGGTGTGCACCATCATGTCTGGCTAATTTTTGTATTTTTTGTAGAGACAGGGTTTCACCACGTTGTCCAGACTGCAGTAACTAATTTTTAACAGATGGTTATAACGTGCCAGGTATACATTATCACCTTATGCCTTCCACCAAATTCCTTTACAAGGTAAAAGCCTAGTTTATAGGTAGTAAAGAATGGAACCTTGCCCAGGCTCTCCCACCCTTATGTCTGAGCCCATAACCTCCAGGCCTCCTAAAGCTGTCCCACGTCATACCTCCAACTGAATTGGGGCTAACTAGAAGGCCCACATTCAGACTCTGGTCTGCTGAGCTCACTTTCTTCTGGTCTTTAGGCAGAAAACAGAAATCAGAAATTAAAAAAAAAAAAAAATTAGAATGGGACAGCATTTGACTGAGTACCAAACCATGGTACACAGGAAACTGAGAATTTTGACCTCATACTTCTCCCAGATTTGAAGCCTTTTCCTGAGACTCCTTCTGCTCCAAACCCTGCCCATGTTTGTATGTCTGTGTTATAAAACAAACAAACAAAAAACAGAAGAAAATAGAGAAAGAAAGTGTCTTGAGCTATTGTTCTCTTGTTTTAAGAAATCATATTATACTGTATCCTGAAATAGAAATTTACAGAAAGTGATAAGTGATGTGGGCTTAAAGTTCAAGCTATGGAACCAAAACTAATAAAGCCGGTGGTCACATGCATATTATTATCACTTAATTGCTATTATTATTATTCACATTTATGGAGCATATTGTATTATAGATGCCCAACCCAGCACATAGATCTTCAAATATATTATCTAATTTCATTCTCACACCATTTCTATGAGACAGGCATGGTTAACTCCATTTTAGAAATGAGGAAATTTAGGCTTCGAAGAATTAAATCAGTCACCAGAGGTCACATTGCATGTGGGAGTCAGAATTCAGACTTAGGTCTAACTTCAAATTTCATGCTCTTAAGAACAAAGTTATGAGCATTTGAGTTTTGAATTATAATCTCTCTATAAAGTGTGGAATCACTTCCCTTAAGTTTGCAGGAGTTGGAGGAATCTCAAGCCATGACTTTGTATCCTGCTTTCTTCTACCTATGACTACTCAATTCTACCTAATAAATGCATCACAGATTTGGTGACTGACGCTTTGACAAACTCAACAAATTTTGGGAGTGCTAACATCCCTAATGAGGAACGAAACCCTATGTCAATGCTAGCAAATTCTAAGTTGTCACAAATTACTAGCTATTAACCAATCGTCAAATTGCAACAATTTATTCAACCAATGTGTATTTATCACAAACTAAGCACTGAGCACTCCGCACTCATTATGAGGGTGCTACACAGAGCTGACCTACAAAATAAGCACTAGATGAGTGGCCCTCCATAATCAAGATTGATTTTTCAATTCTTGTTTTCCTTACCTCCTACTGGCAAGTGTACCATAAAAACTAAGCAAATGTTACTAGACAACATGACTAGAAAGAGGTCAGGTTTAAGTAAAATCTTTTTTTTTTAGGAGTTACCTCCATGCACATGAAAAAGTTAAGTCACAGCTTCAGAGATTACTGTCTCTAGGGTAGAGATGTTATATAAGGTAGGAAGACGTCCATGAACTTCATTTTCCACTTTCACTATCTGCCTACAAAGCAGCAGGTTTCAAGGTCCCTATCAATGTTCAAAGGGAAGCTTCTGTGATATTTCTGCATTAAATGCCCAACATTTAGTATAACATACCAATGTATAAAAGTACCAATTTTTCCTCTAATTTTTAAAAAGTCTGACACATTATTTTTGCTGTAATTTTACGTTAGCCAGGGCCCAATTTCTTTTTTTCTTTTTTGCCAGCTGAAAGCAACTCATATTTTATACTGGCAGAAAATGAGCATCTAGAATTCCTTTTAGAACAAGAAATAGAGAGAAAACTCTCATCCATTTAGTGGCTAATAACTATGCTAGGATATGTAGTGCATGTGTGTAGAAACATCAGTCTGGTTGGATAAAGAAGAGAAATTCTGTTTCTACTCTCAGTTTTTTAAGGTGATTGATGATGTTAAAGGTCACTGATTCTCCCAATATGTCTATGTTCCTATGTATAAAATAGGAAGAACATTCTTTAGAGGTATTGCAGTTTTCTGAGCTAACTGCTATGAAGCGTTCAAAATCTTGCAGAAAGTCTCTTGACAAACAAGACAAAATCAACTTTTTCTCATCATATGGCAAAGATAGTCTTAACTGTACCACAAGCCTCTTCTTGGTCATTTCAAAATTGGAGAGACAAGGTATACCCAGCCTAATTCTCCTTCCCACAGCCAAAAGGGGGTGTGACACATCCAAGTGGGCAATCCCCCCACACATTACTGAGGGGTAGAATGTAGGAATGCAGAAGAGTTTCACCTCACTTGATAACCAAGAGGGACTGTAATTCTAGACCTCCTGAATGCCCCGATCATGACAAAAATACCTTCTGGGATCCTCCAACAATAAGAGAGTCAGCGAAAAATTTATGGACAGTAGATGCAACACCCATCAGTGGCAACCAGTTCTAATATTTGCTAAACCAGAGATCTAGGACAGTGAGATGTAGACAAGGTGGGGTTTTGCAGCTGTTTCCCAGAAATTTCCCATGGGTGGACAGTATATCCAGTCCATTGCTCACCACCTGCAGCAAGCAGAACCAAGCCATCCACTCCAAATGAGGAAAGATTGTTGTTTTCTCACCTCCTTCCTCTTTCATGGATTTGCCACCCAACCTCCAACTCAATGGCCGCTTAAAAAAAAATGCATCAAGCTAGTTGTTAATACAATTCATGTCAAGAGTAAAAGTCTGCTGGGATCCTCATTTATACATTTTAGAGGGTGTAACCAAATGTGCTTACTTTTAATGAAACACTCAAGGGATATTCAAGGCACATTGTTTGATTAATACAATGAAGAATAACTACATGGAGAGCTGGGTTAATGGAACATTCTGCACAAGTATAGTGGAAGTCCATGAGACTTCTGAATATAAAGGAAGTTATTTTTACACAATTACAATTGAAAATTGATCCTGAGCCCATGCTGACCCACCTCTTAAAAACAAGATGCAGGAAGACTCCCTACAAAATTAAACTCTATCCAAAGGTACTTCAATGAGAGAAGCAGAGTCCCGGACCACATTTTCCAGAGTGTGTTCTGAGAAAGACTGGCCCCCAGAGATAATGCATAAAAGCGTTTCAATGGTTAAATGAGTCTGGAAAGCTCTGTCTCTCCACACTTTGCAGACTTGAAATGCATATTAGCAAATTAGGGGATCTGAACATTCCTGTAGCAGAGGATACCCTGCTCTACTGCAGCTTTCAATCTATTTAACCACAAAGTTCTTTTTTGTTTCTGTTTGTTTGTTCATTTAAAGTAATGCCTATTTAAATATTCTTGGAACCATAGTTTTCTAAATATTGAAGAAGATATATTTACTCAATCCTGTTAAGTCATCCCTAGGTGTTAATAATTGCAACAATGCTAAAAAAATTTATAAAAATGTGCCCTTGTGCCCTGTCTACAAGTTTCTAGAATGGTGTCACATACATGGGATCTAAGGAATCACAATAATTTAAGTGCCTAAAGTACTTTAGAGAGAATGTCAAAGCTTTATTTTTTTTAAAGAGCTATTTGAAATTTGCTTCTTCCCTCAAAAGAATATCCAGTCTTTCAAACAGGCCGTATTTCAGGGAAGCATACGGGTCTGCTATTTTGACCATGGAGGACATAGCAGAGAATTTGTCATTGGTATTCAAAAGGAAGGCAATTATGTCACTACCCCCATTCAAAATTGTTCAATAGGTCCCTATTACCTAGCAAATCAAGCACAAACTCCCCAGTCTGCTATTCAATGTCCTTCACAATATGGACCCAATCTTCCTTTCAAAAAAAAATAATTATTATTGAAGGCCTCCTATATTATTGTAGCACAGTGGGGGCTAGAAGAGGGAGGAGATGCCTAAAACATAGAAACTGTCCTCAAGAATCTTACAGTCAAGCAAGATAATAAGTAAGTCATGTAACCAATTACTGTAGCACCAGGGGAACCTCGTGTGTCCGAAATGTGTAATCAGACTTCAGAGGAAAAGATCTGCTTCCAACTAGAAGTCCGGGCTTGGGGCTTGGGGCCAGGCTTAGAGTAGGTGGATGCTTTTCTAGCTTTACAATTCATAACTTCTCTTTTCCAGGGATTCATAACTTCTCTTTTCCAGGGATAAATGTGGGATTTCATTTTTAGTTCTTCATCATGATGTTTGTTGCATGGGGTCAGTTTTCAATTATTTTGAAAGCAACTTTTAAATAAAACATATTTATAACATTTACTTACTATGAATGAGGCATAAAATTACTATCATTTTACATAAATCACCTCATTTAATCCCTACTTTCCACTCCAAATCTATTAGATTAGGTATTATTTATTACCCTCCTTTTACAGATGTAAAGTGAAGGATGGGAGATTTGCCCATGATAAGTGACAGATCTGAGGATATAAAGGCACGTAGGCCAACACTAGAGGCCATACCTTTAACCACTATGCTACATTGCCTGTGAGTGCTCTATGCCCCAAAAAGAATCATTATTCACCCAACATGCATCAAGCGTTTCCACTTTGACAACTTTGCATGTGCAAATGAAATATTCTTCCTCCTCTTCTCTACTGGTTGGTAGATATGCATACTTCAAACACATGGCAGGGAAAAAGAAAACTACCTCGACTATGGTGCCTGCACTGAGGGAGAGACCTGCATGTTACTGTGGACTTTGTCCTCTTCCTTTCTCCCCACATGTAATGTCAGTCCTCTCCCCTCCAACTCTACTGCCAATACTTTCATTCAACACGCACCCACCTTCTAGACTATTAATCTATATTCTATATGGAGTCTTCTTTCTCTCAAATGTATTCTCCACATTCTACAAGAGTTATTTTTAAAAATGTAAACCCCATCATAAACTCCTTTTGCTTAAACTTCTTTAAAATGAGTTATTCACATCCCAGAACAGGGTTTCCCAGGCATATGGCCTGGAAAATCAGATTCCCAGCATTTCCCACTGGAAAGTCCTGGTTGTGTAATTCCTGTGGTCTGTGGTGTGCCAGGGAATCTGTATTTATATGCATCTGAGGAGCTACTTATCACCAGGAAAGTTTGGTAAACAGTGCTCTACAGGATTAAGCATAAGCTTCTTAGTGTGGTAAAAAAGGATCTTCATGTACGCACCCACTTGCCTCTCCAGCCTCTTTTTTTTCACCATGCATTCTCTCATACAAACAGCAATATCAACCCAGTTGTTGCTCCATGCACAATATACTGCATCACACTTATGCGCCTTCGCGCTGGCTGTTTTATCTGCTCCCTGCACCTTCCCTACTTTTTCCATTTGGAAACACCCACTGAAGGCCATCAAAATCTTTATTTATTTATTTATTTTGTATTATACTTTAAGTTTTAGGGTACATGTGCACAATGTGCGGGTTAGTTACATATGTATACATGTGCCATGTTGGTGTGCTGCACCCATTAACTCGTCATTTAACATTAGGTATATCTCCTAATAATATCCCTCCCCCCTTCCCCCACCATCAAAATCTTTTAAAACCTTCCGAATTTTGTGAAGACTTCCACAGATGTTTCAGACAGAAGTAATCACTCCCTCTTCTGAAATACCTTACAACCTATATGTTAAATGCAACATTAGAAGCATGTGTATTTATTCGTTTACCTTTCTGAGTTGCTTACTAAATATTACCAACTTGCTGAGGAAAGAGATCACATCTTGTTTGCTTCATACCCTAGAACCCAGGACAGTACTTGACACAATTATATGGTCCATAAATGTTCAATGAAGAGAATAATTTTGGGGCTCCACTATTAGTCAGTCACCAAAATGGACTTTTTAAAAGCAAGTGCTAATTTAATCCTAACAACTGCCCTATGAGACAGTTATTATTCCCATTTTACAGGTGAAGAAACAAACATTCAGAAATATTGCTGCTTGGAAGTGGCAGGGCAAAGAGGAATGTTCAGATCCACCTGCTTCCAAAACTGCCGTTTAATCTGCAACAAGCTCCCCCTATAACTGAGTACCTGCCATGTGTAAGAGTTACTTGCACATTTGTCATGGTACTCCCCCCACCACCACATACACACACAAACACACATCTTGGGAGAAGGTAAGCCGTTGAAGATAAGGACCCTTGTGATTTCCATATTTTTATTCCCAAGGTGCCTTGCTCAATGAATATCTTTGTGTATTAAATTTAAACAGCCTACACTAAGAAGAGGTCTTGAGAGAGTGAGAGCTCCCTGACTCCAGAGAGTGGTGTGCATCTACACATCAGCCCCAGTGTGTGACAACCTGTCAGAAAAGGACATCCATGAGGTAGAGTCCATAAGCTTCCAATAATCAATGATTTATCAACTTTTTTTCATCTTTCACATTTAGTACATGGAAATTTTGAAAGTTTTATTTTAGTGGATGGCATTTGTTACAAATGTTAGTTGGAAGAAGAGATATGAAATTTTACACTCCCAGTCTACTTTCGTAAATCTTCAAACTTATAAAAAAAGAATGATTGGTTTTGAGGCAAGAGTCATATCTCCAGCTGGAAGGGTTAAGGAATAAGTGTTTTGATTAAACAAATATTTCATTGACTAAGATAAGGTACTTATCTATATTTTATATGAATTTACAGTCTAAATAATTATAATTTGGCTAAATATATATGTAACTGTAAAATTCTCCTGAAAATTATTTAGGTTTTTTTCTGGAATGATTTGGAACATATTTCAGGAGTGGGTAGAATCTCAGCCTCTGTAATAATGATCGTTTATTGTTCCACTTGTGAAGTATAGAAAATTCCAACTGAGTGAGTTCTAATTAGATAATGGAGGATGGAGACGTTGCTCTGTGTTTTCAAAACACGCCTCATATTTTAGCAGATAGAACAGTCTATTGGTATTAATACTACCACCTTAGATGTCCTATATCTGAATTGTGGCATTCCACTATCCTCAGAAAATAAACTCTAATGCCTAGTCATATTTTTGCCAAACTGAGAAGAAAAAGGCTCTCCTGGCAACCAAAAACAAGAAACAGAAATATTACTTCACTGTGTATAATAAATCAAAAAAATTAAAAAGTTCATGTTATACCCCAGATGAAAAGCTTGTGGCCTCCCTTTATGTTAAAAGATAAAATGTACAAATAAAAATTAAGACCCATGAATGGAAACATTAGATTTCTGGAGCTTGGATTTAAAAGATCATCTAATTCAATCTTATTTTACAGGTGAGCAAAAGTCCAAAGAGATTAAAGGACACAGCCAAGGTCATATAGCTAATTAATGTCAGCATAGGACAAAGGGAAGAGAGAGAGTAATAAAGGAACCAACGGTTACTGGTTCCAGGCAATGTTATTTGCTGAACACATGGAATCTCTCTTAATATAAGTGAGATTATATTAAGCACTTCACTTTCCAGATGTAGTGACTGAATCTGGCAGATATTGAGTAAAACTGGGATTGGAACTCATGTCTCTCTGTCTTCTAGGTCTGTGCCCTTTTCAATGCAATCATGACTTTTGAGCATAGGTCTCGACTCATAGTTCAAGATTCTAGACAGTAACCCATGTAGATGAAAAAGAACTCACTACAAGGTTTTGCTTGCATCACCAAAAATAATTATATTTGCCCAAATGCAAACTATGAAAATCTGGAGGACATGTGTAGAAAATCGACAACAGGAGGTGGGGCCTAAAAATTCATGAAATACTTCCAGGCTCCTTTACCTGTGTGTGAAGACCCACCAATGACTTCCATGAGGTCAATCCTATCCTAAACAACACTTATTAGCAAAATGGATCCTGAGTCCATGAGAACTATTTGCCACACCAAGCAATTTTCCACTATTAGATATACCATTACATTTAAAGACATCCATCTATACATTTTGTATAGATAACATAATGAAATTGCATCTCCAAATTCTGACCATATGCACATAATATAAGACATTAAAGGACAAATAAGTCCCATTTTAAGTACTATCTTAAAGTAATACTTAAAATAGAAACCTAAAATTTAAGAACCTACCTACAACGAAATAATGCTAAGTTTGAGCTGATGGTCCATTGACATATTTAAGACAGTAATGAATACAACATAAGTTCAGTAAAACAAAATAATTTTTATCTCTTAAAGATGTAATGGAATTTGATGGAATATATCCATACGTTCCAAAGAGTTCATTTATGTTCAGGCACACATCAGTGAACCAATACACACCAAGTTTTGATCAACTTATACATCTTAAAAAAGGAAAAAAGAAAAATCTGTGGATTTTGTTTATTGCTTCAAAAATGGACATACTAATGCCAGATAATCGAAGAAGTGATAATCTGCACCTTGGAAAAGCAGGGAGAGAGAGAGAGACTAGGAATCAAATAATTACAACGCAGTGTGAAAGATGTTATAATAGAGGTAAAAAGTGCCATGGGAGTGCAGAGAAGGAGCCACGGCCTCATACCTGGGCAGATCAGGAAGGCTCACAGAGAAGATAATATCAGAACAGGATTTTCATCTGTACGAATTTCCAAGGCAGGCAGAAGAGAAGGACACACTCCCTCTAGGTCTCTTTCATTATTTTTTTTTTCGAGACCTTGTGTTCCAGCAAGCTGAGGAAACTTATTGCTGTATAGCAGGGATACTAAAGTGGTTCACTTTCATTTTAATGAGGAACTAGATTTCAGTGAAACCCCGTTGTTGCTTTTTTGCTGGTCCTCAGAAAGATAGTGAATAACTCAAGACTACCGAGGGATAAATTTGGTATATAAAAGTGGTGTATATTATTGTCTGCTGTGACATAAAATATTTTTAAAGGCCAAATTAAAAGCAAATTTCCACATGTGAAAATAAAAAGTGATTCTCCTACTACCCTCCTCCCCAGCAAAAAAGCAATAAGACTTTCAACAAACTCTCTGAGGGTAGAAATCGGAAAGAAAGAAGGGGAAAAAATAACATGGCGTCATCACAGACTATTCTTCTGAAGCAAAGTAAAGACAATGAAGGGAAAAATAGAACACGTGTATTACAATGTATAGCACCATAAGGCTGTGTTTGGTGCTCTGGAGGGCTTCAACAAGTACTGTTCAGCCAAAAATCAATTGAAAAATCAGCATGATAACAGAGCATGAGTTGCCCTATAATAGCCTTAAGACCCCCAAGGCTATGTGAGTCCCTTTCATCTGGCACACAGCACTGACTCTAGGGGACCCTCACTTCCCCTCCCTGAGTCCTGTGCCCATCTGTATTTCTTACCTACTGCTTTACTCTTCCTTAGAAAGCATGGCTGACAAGGAATGATGATGTTTTAAAGTGGTTTTTGAGAATTTTTTCTTTTCTGCTTTATTCTCTTCCTTGACATTTGCACTTAAATTTATCCTATAATATGAGTCATAGACTATTTCCACAATATTAAATGGTCAGCTGTAATCTCTGAGTCACCTAATGAGTTAATAGTCTTATGTTTTGCCTTAACTAAACTGCCCCTTAATAAAATCCCAGTTCAGGCTTATGCAAATGTGACATGTAAGCAATTCACAGCATTGTTATAAATATACATATATATTTCATTCCAAGATTTCATCTCAATATTTCTTCAATCACTTCCTCACAATGTCTGGTTTGTTCAATTTATATTTCTCCTTGGCATTTGGTGCAGACCCCCAAAGATAAGATACATCTGTCCCTTAGTCACAAATCTTGGCATTTTTACCTTAACTCAGTCGTGAAATGATTGGTTGAAAATTACCTTGCTTATTAGCAGGATTTCCTCATAATAAAACATTTTATTTCCAAACTTTCAAATTTGACACGAGATGTACTAACTCAGTAGTGACATATCAAAGCTCAAGGAGGACATATAAATACCCTGATCCGTGTGAGGAAAGGAGAAGCTAATTGGAAGTCAGCTTCCCTGTGATTATCAGCTTGTTTATGAGGAGGGAGGACTCTTCTGAATGGCACTGTAAACTCATCCCTGATTATGGCGTTAAAACCAGAGCTCATTTCTACAAGTTCCCCGAAAGCCCCCTACCCAATCCATTTTGTTTAGTTATAAAAGGGTTGTGCATTGCTTTCAGAGAATGACAGTTTTTCATGCTTTGATTTTCTCCAGTTTCAAGAAAAATTAATCAGTTGCACAAGCCAGTTGTCAGATTTCACTTCCCTCATGGCAGAAAGCACACATATTCATTGTCTGCTATAAGAATAAATTTTAGTAATTTTTCCCCATGTCAATATGAATATTAGACTGACCCAATTAATATGAAATGCTTCTATGGTGCTGGAACAGACAGTGCTACAGAAAGAGCCATTTGCACAACCTGTTCATGATTATGGGCCATAAGGACACAAAGATGGCACACACATTTGTGGACCATCTGAATTCTTATACCGAGAGGGGAGGGGGAAGGGGGCGCGGCATGACGTTAGCTTGACTGTCCTGGGTCATGTTTTTTAATCCAGAGTATTGGACATGTAACACAGCAACAAGAGCTGATCATTTTGTTTAATCACCTTTTGGATCTTTGCCAGATGGTCTCTATTGAGAGCGCTGCAAACAGAGAGAGATGAACTGCATCTAACACGCCACCAGAGCTTTCCCGTAAATGTCTGAGAACTGATTCCAACAAGAATTTAGTCTCAGAGCAGAAAGGGATACATTTAAAAACTATGTGCATTAACTATACTTTTCCCCATAGAATCCTCACTTGGCATGAATAATTTACCCACTCTTATGCTAATGGGATCATGAAAGTATCCCTCTGTCTTTAGTGCAGCTATTCTCAGCTTTCAGTAATTACCCCACCCAGTGAAAATAACATGGCTTCTGCATTGAACGGCTGACTCGTACCTGACAATTAGAAAGATCATGGCTGACAGTGGAAGAGTCTAGAACTGGACAGAGAAACCCTTGTAGCCCAAGGAAGAGCAGAGCCATAGAGTAACACTGGCCGTGAGTGGGAATGCATGCCGGTGAGAAGTGGCAAGAAGGGTAAAAAGAAAAATTCTCCACTGTCAAGCTTTTCTTTCTTTGACTTATTATCGAGATTTTACTTAAATAAAAATATGGTTCTCTTTCAATTACCAGATGTGAAAGACATTCATGACCAAATTAATTTTGAAAAAAAAAAAAAGCAATATCTAAGGAAAAAAACCATAGTTACCATTAAAGCACATCTCCATTAAATATCTATTTCACCAGAGTTTTAAAAAAATCTAAATAATGAAAAATCCTTTGCATTTTGCTTTTTGGAAGGAAAAAAGGATTGCCAGGAAAAAACAACCAAAAAAAAAAAAAAAAAAAAAAAAAAACACCAAAAAAGAAAACTCATTTTCTACCTCTGTCCACAAAACTCCATGTTAGGTAGTTCACTGTGTAAAAATTATCAGGCTAAAACATCTGGGAAAGAAAGCTATGAAACAGCAGGGAACGTGGCTGGTTTATTGTTTATCTTTTGTTTATGAGGCAGTATTCAAGTTTAATTACTACTCTAAATTAAACTCTAACTGGCATCAGGAGACATCCCTTTACATGACTCAGTTAAAAAAAAAATCTAGAAATCCCAAATCTGGGTTTCTCAAGTAAGTTGATACATATAGGAAGAAATTACTCAAAATTAACAGCAATTATAGAAACCTTTTAAGCATTTATGGGCACCATTACATGCTCCTAGAGCATTTATTTATTAGAAGAATTTAATTTTACTTCTAATGGTTACTACTCTAAAAAGTCTTGAGAAAAATCAACAGAAAATCTTTGGATGTTTGCTGATGGTTAAAGAATGGCATTATTTTAAATTTTATTTGGGGGGAGAAAAGAGAAAGAAAATGCAATGTAAATAGTCCATATACAACAGTTTATTCTATGGCAATGTTCAATTATCAATTATAGTCTCACAGAATTTTTTTGACACAATTAGGAGGACAGGAAGGAAAAAAAATGTCATTGTATTTATCATAACAGTAAGTGACCAGTTTTGGATGAACTTAGCTCTAGGAAAAATAAAAGTTAGAAGCAACTAGCAAAAGATTATGCCAGATGGCATCTGTCATATTGTATTTAGGGTTATTTTAAAGAGATTGCCGCCACTATGAAAACATTCCATTGACAGAGTTTTCCTAGACTGAATAAGAAATCCCAGTAGAACATATTCAGGACCCACAGTAAGTGGGTTTGAAGCCCCCTCCTCCTCTTTAAATATATAACTGGAATACTTTGGTGGGAAAAAAATACTATTTTATAACTATAACATGTATTATAAGCTCAAAAGTGCAATACTATCTTAGACATTTGCTTACCTATAAACACTTACATTCACTACTAAGGAGATATTTGTAGGTTTCAACACCATGATTGCTAAACAACTGTATAATACATAAATAAATATCTAGCTATGAGGAATTCTAGCCTCATCGCCTGGAAAATAGATGGGGACATCAACAGAGGGACGTGGTAGGTGGCAGAGTTAGGGAGAACTATGCTGGCTTGTACAGCCCTGTGTCCTGAAAGATTAGAGCAATATAGATTCTAGAATGCTAATGTATTTAGGTTAACTGGGTCTGGCAACAGTATGGTTAACGTGCGTGTGGTGTGCAGTGTGAGCTCAGCAGTTACTGGGCCAACTGTCTCGGTATTTCTGGGAATCCTGCCTATTCACAGTGCAGGGATTGTTCAATTGCTGCAAAATGTACAAAATGAATTTTACAAAAATGAATTGTAAGGAAGGCCCCATTACAACGATTTTACAGCAAAGATGTCAACATCAATTTTTCTTTCATGCATAGCTAATGATTAAAACAGCATATTCCATTTGCCTAAGACAATTTATTTCATATTGGCACATCAAAATATTGAAATACAAAGTTATCTTTACTCTACCCTTTTTATTCATTGCGGCTGAACCCATACCATTGTTCAAACCAGGAAAAATAAAACAAACTTGGCACGAAATACTTAAAACAAAGGCTCATCAATATTCTCCAATTTGTCAACATCTCAATTACAGCACTGGAAAAAATGTAAATTTCATGTGCTCTAAACACTGAGGGGTCTATTCTCTTGCCAATTCACATGCGTAACTCCCATCAGCGTTAATGGGAGCTACACAAACCCATCAATAATAATAATACTTTGTACATATATTGTGTCTTTCATCTAAGGCTCTCAAAGTGCTCTAGGAACAAGGGGCTGCTTCCTAGTCGTTACTCTGGCAAAATACACAGTGAAATACAAAGCAGCTTTTGACTCAGCAGGTACAGAATTAGGGATCTCTAGACTTATTATCAAACCCCATTTTACTGATGGGAAGCCAGACACAAAGAGGGCCAGTTACTTCCCCAGAGCCCCAAGTCTGCACCCTAATTCCATCCTTGAAAAACCAGATTTTCTTCCTCCGTCTAATGTGACTAACAAGACAAACTCCCTTCCTTTGGCTGCTTTTAGCAAGAGAAATCAGTGAATGAAAAGTCTGGTTCATATTTATATAGCTTACTGTTAGACATGTGCTCTTTGAAAGATAGTAAAGTCAGGTTTCACATTTTACCAAGTTTATTTCTTAAGATATTTTAAAAATGTGATATACATTTTTTCTCCTCCTTTTGGTTCATTGCTGAAACACTATGGAGGAAAAGATGAACTTTCACCTGTGTAACTGTAGCTGTTTCACTATCAGGTCATAAAACAAGGTATTTTTAGGTTCCAAAGTAAAGTTTCTATGAATCATTATAGTAAACATAATCACAAAAATTATAAAGCAACATAAATACATGTATTGTTTTATAGCATGTGGCTATTAAAGTTTAATTTAAAATGTGTATGAAAACATTGTATTTAGTACAATTCATCCCTATTTTTTGTGTTTATCATAATTTGTTTTGAAACTGAATCATTTTACAGTTTTCCATATGCCTGTTTTGCTAATAAATTCTGAATGCGAAAACTCTTTGCGAAACTACAAACTTGATTTCCAATGAAACATTATAATATATTTAATACTAAGGACATAAATTTCTCTCCCACGTTTTCCATTATACATCAACCCTAAGATTTAACCTAGGATAAGCATATGCGATTTCAGTCAATATCTCTGTTGACTTTGCCCTGAAGCAGATAATTAATCTTTCCCACTGAAACTACTCTGGACAATTCGGTGGGACAAAATATCAAAATACCTTGAAACCCTGTTTAAAAGACTAATATAGGCATGAGTATGACAACATACACTCAAGTCTGGCCTTCAAATTTTAAAGTCTGCTGTAAAAAGCCAGAATGCTCTTATATATGTGTTTTAATCACTGATGTGGTAAGCCAGGTAGGAAATTTTCTATGCCAAAATAGTCCCCATTTTATAGAAATCATACCTTTTTTTTCTTTCAAACTTCGATACAGTAAAATGACTGACTTCCTAGTACTCATACACATAAGCTACCATGTCCATTCTTTAATCCCGCAGAGACATGATTAAAGGAACAGAATCCTACAGGGATCAAATCCTTCAGCATTGGATAAGTGGGTGCATCTACCCACAGCACAGAAGTTTGTGTGATTGTTTTTACCTATATATCAGTCTCAGAATTCTTCTCTTTCCTAAAAAACAAAACTAACTAACCGAAACGCTAAAACTTTATGCTTTGCTCGTTATTACAAGTAATCCCCACTCCAAAACCTGGGTTCTTCTTTCTCCCACCTCCTCTTCTCTCTGGCCCTTTCTTGCTATCTCCCTTGCCATAACTCAACTAACCCAACAGAACCAGTCAGTTTTAAATTTCAGTTGGGACCTTGGTGACCTGTTAATGAATCTACAGAGAGGAGAAAAACTCACAGTGTTGAGTTATGCCTGGTGTTGCTAGCTGACTTGGAGTCAGAAATGCTTGAAGCGTTAACGTAATTGCAAGAATGTGAAAAATGAGGCGCTGGGCTCCTGAGCAAAGCGAAAGGTCAAAGTGAGCCTCACACACAAGAAGTCTCTGGAAGATAGCCTCATTAGACCATTAAGTCGGCTTCTCCTTTTCCCCTCTTTTATACAATGTTTAGAGTATTTTGTTTTTATTAATAGATACATTTCACCCTTTGTGTCGCCGCAATTTGGGGTGGTGGGAAGGATGGAGTCATAGAAAGCTTTCCAGATTTAACCATGCTGAGAAGTCCATCACTGTGACATGGAACCACAGTTAAGTCATTGCTTGCAGATCCATTGACCCTATGTACCAGTTACCTTGAAAATGCCTTATAATTTACTTATCTTTTATATAGAAACTAACTGGTAAAATAAAACAGTATATAAAACAGTATATATTATATAGGTGCAAGTTGCAAGTTCTTCCATAATTTGCCGTCTGATATGATTCATCGCTGTGTTAGTTTCAATTTGCTTAAACCTAGATTCTAATTTGGACCCATTCACAAATGAATGGCATCCTAGAAAGGACATTTTTCTAGACTCTTCTAGAACCTCAGAAATCCAAAATTCCTAGTCAGAAGCTTGGAGGACAAAAGGCACCCTACTTACATCAACACCCTCTTTTAAATGGCATATATAACTACAGCTCGAGCTGTTAAACTGTCCTCTACTTGGAAGCCTGTCTAAGACTTAAATATCGTGGCCATAAACACAGTCATAATAGAGATGAAATAGACCTAGGAGATCAGACACCATCTAATGTAAAATATTAAAAAGTAAAATCTATACACTTCCCTGGCCCACATTCAATAATGCATCTTCCTTTAAATTATCATTTTAGCCATAGATGAGTCATTCCTACCAATATATAATTGCTCTCTGTGCAATAGGTGAGTTTTAAATAGTAAAATTTATTCTAAATTGCACTAGGCTTCCTCAACATCTGCAGTTGATGTCCCCCTTGCCCTCTGATTATTCTAATTTTTAGGACTTGTGACAAAAGTCACCATGTCAGCTGAATGGAAATGGGGACAAATAATCCTCTAAGAATTTCAAAATCTACCTTCCCAAGATAAGATTCCATGTAAAATTCCACAATATTTCCAGAGCTAATAAGAACAGATTTTTAAATTTTATGTGCTTTAGAGGCATAATTGCTTGATTATAGAGAATGCTTATAGTTGATATTACAGGCAAAATATGCTATTTATAGCACAATTCAAGCTACTGCATCACAGCAGTAAAGCAGGCCTGTGATTCCACTTATACACACAGAAATAAAGTGTAGATAACCAAATTTGTAAAAGAATTGGCAGAACTAATCAATTGTTATTGTAATGCCTACTTAAAGATTAGACAGCTCACTTTGATTTCTTTTTTTAAGGAAAGTAAGTTAAGAAGAGGAAATACTGTCTCTTTAAATAGCAGCTGATTCTACTCCCTAACCTGCCACTCTCCTGTTTACATGGCGGCAGATGTACTGATATCATAAAATACTGAAGTTATTTTAGTCATGCCTACTTTGCACGAGGAAAATGTTTGACCTTTTACCTTGCTCACTGCTGTTGTCTCCGCTCTGGGAAGCATGGCCCCCACTGGAGGGCCCTGGGGTGCCTGCTGAGTGGGTTGAGGTTGCATCATCGTGGTCTCGCCAAGAAGAAGGGTTCTGATGTCAGGATACCAAGGAATTTTTCCACAGTTACCATTTCAGCCATCAATGAAGAACCAAAAGGAACGGCACAGAAAGAGACAAAAAAATGTATACATATTAGTATTTGTGGCAGTAGGCATATACGCATGCCATGTTATGGTGTGCTGTCTTTTTAGTAATAGGTATATAAAAGAAAAGATGTTCTAGAACTTGATGTGGTGATGGTTACACCAGTGTATATGTTGGTTAAAACTAATTTAAGTGTATACTTTAAATGGGTAAATTTTATTATATACAAATTTAAACCTAAACAAAGTTAATTTCTAAAGTAAAAAAAAATTATGAAAAATGTAAAAGTCATTTTTACTCTCGCTATCTTAATTAGGGTACATTCTACTAAGAAATAGGTCCCGATGCTCTTGGACACTCAATACTTCAGAACATTCACATCTGCAAAATTCAATGACTCCATTAAAAAAATTACAGGCTCCACAATGTATGGGACAGCCCTTGACATCTTTCAAATGCATTGCCCTAAAACAACCTATACAAACTCTCAAAATTATCAACTGATTGACTATATAACCAACAAAGGTAATGATATTAATCACTGTATCAATACCTAATAAATTATTGATTTTTGCTTTAATTTGTAGAAATAATTTAAAAAAAGGAAACATGTGTGAACTACTGTCCATCTAGTAAGCTAGAGAGGAGTTTCACTTGAGCTTCATGGAAGCTTGAAATTCACTGAGCAGTGCTTTTTCCTAGAAGAACTACTTGTTTCAAAGGACATGCAAGGCAAACCAAGAGTTATAGCTCATGCTACTTGGCTGAGTATATTCTTCTTCTGTTCCTCCTCCCTTTTCCTGATCATTCCCAATGCCCTGCTGTTGCTTAAAGGAAAACAGGAATTCTAATGTACAGGAAGGACTTTATCAGCACCACATGAAGGCAGGCAAGAGATGGAATTTCCTCTGGCAGAAACGGAGAGGAGGAACAGCATACGAAACAGTCCAGCCTTAAAGCCAGAGCTGTACACTTGTCACCTGCATATGACGACTTCAATTAAGCCCACAGACCTACTGGCAAGTGAATGATTTGGGGGCCAGAGGAAGGGGCAAAATAGTTCCTCAAAACCAATCAAAGTATACAAAGTATATACCAATCTAAGTATATACTGAAGTATACAAGGTATACACCAATCAAAGTATACAAATTTTACAAAGTATACACCAATCGAAGTATACAAATTATACACCAATCAAAGTATACAAAGTATATCACTAAAAAAACCAATCAAAATATACAAAGTATATCACTAAAAAAACCAATCAAAGTATACACTGTTTCTTACTAGAATTGGTAAATAAGAATTCAGACAGAGCCACGTGGGTATAGGCAACAAATAAACCTCTTGACCAAGGGAAAGTAATCTTGCCATGTTGCCATTATGTATAGTTCATCAAGAAAAGAAGTCAGTCTGTCATTTTTCTCAGCATCAACTCTACAGTGTACATATAGCATGGATGATGTTACCAAAATAAAACAAGAAACCAAGGTGAGAAAAAAATAGGGAAATGTTCTTATTTGGAACTACAAAACTTATTTTTCCCCCTACAGATCTGCAGCAAACTGACTGTGAATTAATATTTGGCATTTTTGATAGATTATGAAATAATAATCCAGAGCTCTATGGATTAATAACATCTATATAAAATAATGATACTGGCACTGCTATCAGGCAAGCAATTGATTCAAAGTGAAAACCCTGAGCAGAAATTTTGTGACTACAAATATGGCACAGGTATAGATCTCTAAAATAAGGATATGTTTGAGAAAGTAGATTAGGGAATGAAATTGAGTAGAATAAAATAAAAGTCAAGGTTTTCTGCTGCCTGTAGAAAGACAAAGTCATGCCTGTGAGCTCTCTTTTTAATCTAAGTTAGAAACCACTCCAATAGTTTCAAGCAAAAGGCAAACAGAATACAGGGGCTCCTCAAGCTTTGAAGCCTCTTCGTGTCAGCTGTTTGCCGGGCGGTAATGAGATAAAGAGCTAGAAGAATTACATGGAAAAAAAAAGAAAGAAAAGAAAAAGAAGCAATAGCATGGTGTGAGTTTAGTCCTGCGACAACACAGGCTAGAGGCTTCTTTTAGAAAATGCAATAGCTGCAACATATTCACCTAAGCTAAACTTTTCATTGTACACAGCAATGATGTTAATTTTATGCACTGCAGGCTTTTTATTAAGCTGGCTGCTATAAAAGCTCCTTACCCCTCATGAAAATTATAATAATTAACCACTAACACCTCAACTATGTTTTAAGGCAAATGTCATCCAATAGCTATTATATAATCGTTTATATGAAGCCGGAGCAAGTCTTTCTGTTTAGGTGCTGCATTGATTTGAAGGGATCACTCAGAAGGACTTCCTGTAACTGAAAACACTGGTTTGTCCCTATCAGCTAAACTGGTGCTGAGTTTTCAAGTTAGGCCTCATTCGTTTATAATTCAGTGTATTTCTTTCAATGGTATCTGAAGGAGATGTTTTCTAAAGTAAAGGGGTGAAAAATAAGCCACAGAAGCAAATATTACTTTTAAGAGCAGCTGGTTCTTCCAAATAAATTGGGTCTTTGGTTTTCTGCCCATTCCCAAAATATGCTTAAGTTCACTCTTTAACCTACCATTCCCTTATCTCTTCCCTCTTTTCTTTCTCACTCTTTAAAAATGCTCTCCTGAAAAAGTGTCATGTTTATTTCCCATAGAGTGTCTCAAGTATTATGGTCTTGTTTGAGAGACTGAACACCAACTAAGGACTATCACACGATAGTCATCTGATTTGAAAGAAGGAAGAACAGATAAATCCCTCTGGGGTTTCAAGGCTGAGGAGTTACCACAAGTTGTTTGTATTGAGCTACACAAGGTGGTGATGTGATCATATACAAATACAAATGTTGATAATCTGGTCAACAAAAAATTGTTCCTCCTTGGTCATAAAAAACTGTCACTGACATGGATGGACAAAACCTATTACTTTTAACAATTTGTTTTCCCTGAGATTAAAATATTTGTTTATATCACAACTCCTTTCTTCTATTCTTCCCCTTAGAGTTTACAAGTTTCCATCCTTCAAGAAAAATGGCATGGCTTTCTGCCAAATTATATGCAGAAGTTTAGTGAATCCTGAAACCAAAGTGACATACAAAAGCATGTAAAAACACATGATGCAAGTAGAAAAATAAAGAGAAACGCTCGCCGGGTGCCCGTGTATGACTGAGCATTCAGGTATATGCATGCCACAATATATGTCCTGTTCTCCAGCCAAAAAAATCATGAAGACACCCGAGGGCAAGGAGTGAACATGTTTCTATTCCCAGTGGCTTTGGTAATTGGGAGTCAAATATGGTACTCTTCTTGCTCTTACGTAATTGTGTTACAGAGCAGTGTTACCAGGAGAAAAGCAGTGAATACTGAGTGGAGCACAATAGAAGGAGATGGAAAATAGATACAAGAAGCTAGGTCTCTAGGGGCAGTATTTTCTATTTGCTGGGCTACAGACTCACAGCTGATAATGCAAGTTGTAATTAATATAAAAGCAGGAGACAATATGGGCAGAGCTTGTAGTAGTGGGGCCACAGGAGAGCGCTCTGCTGCTCTACTCTGTTTCTCATTTACACACAGCTTTCCCTAGAAAACACAATTGTGCCAGTGTTTTCTCCCTTGAAAGTTAAAAAAAAAAATTGATTTAGCACTATCATTGAATTTTGCTAAATCTAGAAAAGAGCATAGAGAGGACAGGAGTCTCTGGGCATAGGAAGCAAATCATATGTGTGCCTCTCTTGTTGAAGTTGCAGATACACTGGAATTGTAACATTTTAAACCATTATGGCATTTCCATGAGGGACCTACCTATAAGAGAATACTTAATAAGTCTCGGTGAATTGGTGTTATTTCCCTATTTAAATGATTCCACATGGCACATGGTTCTTCCATGGGGCCAGTGGGGTGAAATGTATAAAGTGTTTGTAAATAAATACAAAACTGAATGGAGAAGTAAAATGTATGAGGCTTCAAGGAGAAAAGCAAAGGCCATGCCACATACAAGTTCTATCTAAAATAATCTGAAACTCATTTTAGATCCCAAATGAAAAGGCAATGCAGTGGACATGGTATAGGAAAGAAAACATTAGATTGGAATTAAGATGCTGGCATGCCACCTCTCACCAGTCAGGTGAACTTAAGCAAGTGATGTACCTCATTTCTATGGGGCTCATTTCCTTTATCTCTTTAAAATTAAGAAGTTAGACCAGATAACTTCTAGAACCTACACAACTATATAACATCAAGAGAAAAATTACATGTAAACTTGGAAAATAGAATAAAGTAACTCAGGGTATGTGCTCATAGGTAGAGAGTAATAGTAAACATACATAAAGATATTTTAATCAGTAAATGAAGCATGTACAACTAATTTGACTCAATATATTTAAACAACAAAGGGAAGATATACTTGTATCAACATACATAATTAAATTACTTATTTCCCATAACTTTATAATGTTTTAACTCCTAATTAACATTATGCAAAAAATATTTTTAAAAATAAAACAAGGACTCCTATCTTGGGGTACTGAAGTCTACAAAAGTTAAAAATGTTAATTGTGTGGTTTGAACAAATGTTGGAATTTCAACTCCGGTGTTGTAAAGTTGACATAAGAAGTCAGGAGACCTATGTGTGCTTTCAGAACCTGGACTCACTCTTTAAAAATGTAAATAAAGCTGGGGTCCTTCCCTCACCTCCCCACTTCTACCTCTCTATTAAGCTTTGGGATTAATATGTAAGCAACTCTCACAGAAGTGGCAAGCACCCTTTGCAAATGATTTCTCCATTTAGTCGAGCAACTTTTAGAGAAGACAGAAATGTCTTGTATTGTTGGTGTAATGCCATATTATAAAATGCCTCTTAAAACTTTGAATTGTGTTGGGATATTCCATAGAACATTTAGTATTAAAAAAAGAAAATGAATTAAAGAATGCCAATTTTCAAAAAATCTGATAGGGAATGTCTATGTGGTTGTCAATTACAACCTTTGTTTAATTTCATCTCATCACAGTTACACTGAAAACATACTCCAACTGCACAGTCTAAATGATTTAAATAGTATAATTATTCTTAATGGGGAATTAAGAAAGCTAACAACCACCAGAAACCACGCAGCAGCAACACAACAGAAAATCCACGCACCCAGCCATGCTTCCTTGAGTTGGTGGACAGAGCTCAGAAGTAGAACTTTATCGGAATAGGCCCCAGAGGCTTTGAATAGCATACCATAAGGTCTCACCTTACACTAAAACATAAGAAACTAGCAAATAAAATAAAGCATTCATATTATTATCCAATTTCATTATTTCCCCCTTGATATTCTATAGAACAACCACTTGAACCTATCCCACCCCTCACTGTCACTTCCCTCTAATTTTTCAGGTAGTAATTGAATTTATCTAGAGTCACTTGCCCATATTCTATCAGAAATAAGATTCTGGAGAGTCTCCTCTCTGACCTAACCCATTTGAAAAAACAAACAAACAAACAAACTGTGTCAACATAAACTTGATATATTCAGAGATGCAAAAGAAAACACCAGAATATCTTCATTTAAATTACAGCTTTCAACATATAAATATACAATAAGTTTTCTTTTCTTAGTGGTGTTAGTAGATCCAGGCAATTTTAAGGTATCTGCTATTAACTGTTAACAGACATAATTGTATTTTCTTTCCTCTACTGAATTCTTTCAAATAAAATAAAAATGTAGCTCTTTATGACCACTAACTAGGAATAACAATATAATTGTATAACTGTATTTGCTTCAAGAAAATAGAGCTTAGCTCAGAGAATATACTTCAAGCAAGTAGATTTCATTTGTCTGAACTTTACATGTAATATCTTTACATGTAATATCTTTACATGTAAATGTGAGGATGTATTTTCTTTGTCTGTACTAGGTCTAAATATCTGATCTAAAATTGTGTAAAATAGATAATGTGAGTATCACCTGTTATTCAGGAACTCCACATGCTAGAAAAAGCTGGTCATTTCACAGCAGTTTTCAAGTTGAAACTTCTTTAAAAATTGTTTTTTAGACATATTTATTTTAAACATGATAAATTTGAATGTCTAGGAAACTAACATGAACTGCAGCTGGAAAACAGAGTTCTATTTCCTTCGACTATTATATATTTTTTTCTCCCCAATATTCCAAAAATATTGTAATAGCTCTTTCCTACCTATAAATATTATTATTATGTTATAGTAAAAGACAAAATACATTATAATATTAAAAACATAAGCATGCATTATAAATTTACTAAATACAACGAAATTGTAATCAATATTGCTTATTTTATTTTCTATTTAATTCCAAACTTCCTCTTTCCATTACACCCATCATATGTAAGTGTTAATAATAAATGAATAAACTCAGTAACCTCACTGAATGTAAGGAATGGAAAGCAAGAATATTATGGTTGTCTTCTTCTAATGCATCTGTTATATCAAATTATTTATATAACTTTATGAAATGTGAACAGGATTTACTAATAATATATAAAACTTATTCTTAAGTCTGCCAATATACTTGCTTTGAAGATATTTATATTTATTACTTTTATTTATTTACATTTTCAAATTCTTTTAAAGAATACTGAAACTATATTGGTACCTAATATTTTGCTTCTGATGCATTTCTCTCTGCTTTTCTCTCTCTCCTTGCATGTTCCTTCCTTAAACATGCACACACACGAGTATGCACACACACACACAATGAAGCTGGATACCACTTAATAAGAGTAGAGGTGTATGTGTTTTGGGGGTGTCAAACAGCTGTCACAAACTGTCACCTCCACAAGAGAAACCTTGGCATACAACAAATTAAACTACACTTCTTTTTTAGCTGTCATTATTCATAGCCAATAAGTTGAAATGCTCTCAGCATTTCATGTGCAAATAAAACCAAGAGGAAGCTCAGATCAGAATAGTGGGCCAACAGATAAAACAAGAAAACAACGCGCTGTCTGGGCCTTTCTGAAGTGGCTCATCATCACCCCTGCACCAGTGTTCACCAAATGAGATCCAGCCTGGGGCAATGTATTAAATATGCATATCAAAGCAAATGAAAAATAAACCTGAAGATTCAAATTGGGCACATTTACATGCTGAAAATGTCCCACTCACACCACTTTTCAGGTAGTGGTTCTTTGTTATTTTTACTTTGTGTTTGGCTAGGGGGTTGAAGGAAGGCAACTTTGTAGAAGAGGCTGAAAAGCATAAGAGGATTTGCTTTGAAGGGGGAAGCCTGGACATGAATACAATCAATACACCTATGGTACAAAAGTCTCAAAAATGGTGAAAACTCTCCAAGGTTTTCTCTCATGTCCCTGCATAAAATACAAGTCTGTGGCAAATCTCTCCGTTTTCTACTTGGTGTGCTGGTGGAACAAATTATTGCTTCCTTTCAAAACAAATAGCAGGGGGCTAAAGTAAAAATGTTATAGTTCAGATCTCTAGGAAATAAAAGGCTTTAAATTATGACACCCAATGAAGTGGCAAGCCCTCATGGGTTCAAAATAAATCAGTTGTCATATTTACTTGACTGGGGGCCTGAAAGGAGAGCAACAAATGTTACAGTTGACTCTTTTATCCAAAGATGATGATTGATAAATTATTAAAGCACTATCCTCTTAGGTACAACTTCCTTCTTGAGTGGATATTTAAATATTACAATAGTCTCATAAATTGATATTGTCTATCAGCCAATACTTTAAACAGCCTATTTTATCTTATCTTTTCTATGTAAACATCAACATGGTCTAGCTGTATACATCCACTGGAAAAAGAGTTGCCAAGAAACTGTTTTAGAAAACTAAGTAGTAGGTACTCCTAGAAATATCATGAGAAAAGCTTTTGGCTCCGAGAACTGTGAACCTCTCATTTTACAAACCATGTAAATAGATCCCTCCCCAGTCTCCCAATAATGTGAATAAATATAAATATAGAAACAGAAAACAATGAAAATAAACACACAAAAAACAACAAATGTAAATATTTCTTAGGTAGTGTCATGCCTCATGGACCACAACACACTGTGGAGCCACAGATCAGCAAATAAACTTTCCATAACCACTGCTGCATCCTTTTGATTTCATTACATTCACTCAATATACAAAGGAGATCACCAAAGATTCCCTCACCATGATGGAAAAAGGTAAGGGTAAAGAGATAAGAATAGGAGCCTTCAACACCGCAGTATTTATTCTGTCACAGAACTGGATATCCCAGACTGCGGTTTTCTTTTCTAGACTTTTTCTAACTTTTGTTCTTAGGCTGGCTTCCCATACAAGTGCAAAGGTTAATTATGAAAATCTATGACTGCATATTTTCAAAACTTTTGTCTGGAGCAGGGGAGAGAAGAACCTCATAGAAGGTTTATACTAAGGCATCCCAATTCATTTCTCATACCAGTCAGGAATTGGGATGGGAGGTAGGGACAAACTGCCTTCAAGCCTTAATGCCTGTTTAACTCACACGGAGTGTCAAATTAATATTTCGGCCACAAAGTTATTAAACTACAGCTTATATTATTTAGGCTGTGAGTTCAACTGAATGTAATCTATAGACACCCTGTCCCCCATTTCCAGGCTTGAGTTCCTATAAATAAAACTGCTGTTCACACCCACTCTTTAACCTCGCCACTCTTGCCTTTCCTACCAGCTGCAATCTTTCTTCTCTTTGCTTCTTTTTCAAATTTTCAGTCTCACTACATATGCTTTTTTTTTTTTTTTTTTTTTTTTTTTTTTTTTTTTTTTTTTTTTTTTTTTAGCATCAGACTCACTAGATTGGTTCCAAAATAGGATTAGAAACAGAGAGAATAGAAAGAAATCTCCTTTCCTGGCCTGACATACACAGTCATTTCTTACTATACTCTCCATCCTCATTCACCAACTGTTAAAGTGTTAAAATTCAACCACTAACCTATGGTTACTCAATCATAATTCCCTTCAGCTTTCTGTAATACATTGTTAATAATTGGTTCATCAAGGTTACTGTCTTTTATTATGAAGATGCTTCAGGCATTTGGCAATAAGTCCCTATTCTGACAATAAGTTTCTATAGCAAAAGCCCTGAGAATTGTAATGTGTTTGTTCACCCCTTTTATTTCGAATGCAGTGCAAGATTGCCAATAATTCTCAGAATTGTCATCTCTGTGACATACTAGGAAATCAGCACTCACTCAATTCTCTTTCATTCAGTCCTCTCTCTCCAGACCAGTCCAGCTAACTGTCTTGCTTCTTTCTATCCCTGCTGCACTGATTACACAAAATTAAGAAAGCAGAAAACACAGTGGTGACTATATCAAACAGAATTTGCGAACACCCAAGTCACCAAATCCAGAAAACTTTACACATTAAGAGCACAAATCACTCTATCAACTCTGGTTTTTTGGCTCTCAACATAAATAGGAGGGGGTCCAAGAAAGGAGAAATGAAAATGAAGGGTATGGCAGAGAAAGCAAGAAAGAGAAGAAAAGACCCCAAAAGAGACGGAGTCATTTAAAAAGAAAACTAAATCAGTGGAGCTAGATGTTAAAACAAGGTTAAAATAATGCTTTGCCCAGTGGCCTTAAAAGATTGCTAAAGGCTAGCAGACTTACATGGTCAGCGAGATTTGTGGAGGAGCCTGAAAGTTCTTCATGATCTGACTTGGAGCTGCCGTCTCTTTCATCAATGACGAGGTCGATGGGCATTTTCCCCTTCAAACAGCTAATGTATCGGTGGCAGAAGTTATCGCACAGTTCGTGGACCTAGAACGAAGGTCATGGTGGAGGGTTTAGCTCATGTTGTTGTTGTTGTTGTTTTGTTTCATTTTTAGAAAGGAAAAATACCAGGTTGCAAGGTTACATTTGCAAAGAGCAACAGTGTGATGTCTTCCAAACTAACTCTAATTAAAGGGTGTAATAGTTGAAGGCAAGGAAACAATAGAGTAATTGTTGCAGCAGATATTATTCTCCAGAGACTTCTCTGAGCAACAAGTTACAATAGAGAGAGAAAGAAACAGGACTGGAAATAACTGGGTTCAGAGTGGGAGTCCAGGGAATTAAATCTGATTTGATAATAACATCAAAACATTACAACATTGGAGCTGGGGAGAGCATTAACGTTTGTGATTTTATAAGCTAGGGGTTTCGTATGTTTCCAGGGGAAAGTAATTGAGCTGCAGAGCAATGTAAAGACACCCAGCAAGGATGATTCACTCTGCCTGCACCTAATGCAAACCCAGGGCCGAGGGTGAGCTGAGCTAATAAAGATGCAAGCAGGCTGAGTGTCCAGTAACATAAATGGTTTGCTGCATTTCAAAATAATCCTGAATGCCTGAGGGGAATATTGGGGAGGAGGAGGCTACTTTAAAGGCAAGGCTGTCCTGATTCACCCACCCTCTGAGCCCCTGTGTTGAGAAGCGAGTTGAAGGATGGACATGGTTACATGCTCAAAATCTCCAGGTGCTCAATCCCTCACACTAGAGGTTTGTTAAAAACATCCCAACTCAACTAGGAGAGGGAAATGGTTTAATCAACACGGGGAGCGTTATTTCCTGCTTACCTTTTCTAACTCCAAAAGATGAAACCTTAGTACTTGTATTGCTTGTATCATCTGAAAGAAAAGTTCAGGGAATGGAGTTAGAGCTCTGTGACTCTGAGGTCCTGTCTTGGGGTTGGGAGTGGGGTGAGGATGGTGGTGAGAAAGTTGGGCTGGGGAGAAGAAACGGGCAGGTGGCCAGGAAAAACTTAAACATCAAGAAATAGTCAGAAAAATCAAGTGATTACTGATCATCTCTGCCTCATTGGCCACGGGGTAGGAATCTGACTCAACCTGAGCATAAGCATTAATATCTTTCCCCCTGATGTTCACTGTGCTATTTGTAAGACTGCTTTCCTCGGGCCAGGCCTTTTTTCTCCTCTTAGTCCTCTTTAAACATCCCCTCCCTCGACCTCAGGACAACTTTTTTTTTTTTCCTTAAAAAAAAAAAAAAAAAAAAAAGGTCCCTTCTCAGGATAGAAAAAGCTTTTTAGAACAGCATACCCAGCGAAATCCTTCCTCACTAAAGAAGGAAATACTCAAGATGAATGCTGAGGCAGGGCCTTTGAAAGCGGATTTAAGTACTTTTAATATTGAAATCGTGCAAATTAGCAAAAGAATCGCACCTAAAAGTGGCCTGCGCTGGCCTGCCCCTCACCGCCCCCCAGCCCCCACCCCCAGCCCGCCCTCAGCCGTGCCAGTGGTTACATCCTTCGGGTTAGCCGCCCGGGGCTCGGCCGCCTGCCCCGGCAAACAGAGGAAATAACTCACTTCTCGCAGTTTACTCCTGGGGCCGAGACCTGGGAAACATCCCCTGCTCGCGCTCTCGGCGCTCGGTCTCCCGTTTCGGCCTCCCTGGGCTTCGCTCCCCACCGCGTTCATCCTGCTCCTCGCTCGCCAGCTCCCGTGCGGGGGCTCTAAGCTGCTCCCTTCCTCCCTCTCTCCCTAGAGCTCCAAAAGAGGGTTCTGTTCTAACTCCCCAGAGCTCCAGCAGAAAGTGGGTGCTTCTGGGCATGGGAGAGGGCAAAGGCTGGGGAAAAACAAGGAACAGAGAGCCTTACCAAATTGTCCAGCTCTGGATTTGAGGAAAAAAGTGGCTTTTCGGCGCGAACCTGTAAGAAACAGAGAGTCAACTTGAACGATCACCCCATTTAAAATAAGAAAGCTGAAATGTGAGAATGGGTACGGTGGAGGGCAATGGCGGAGAAGAGGAAAGGGGCTTTGGCAAAATACAAGAAAGAAACTGGTGCCTTAAATTAGTGGAGTCCCTGAAGAAGAATCAGGGCATTCTGGTCCTGGCCCCATTAAGGGGGACCTGGTACGACTAAGCTGTAGCCAGGAACTCAGGGTCGTTCTCAGGGCCTCGAGTTCCATATCCAGCAGTCCAAGAGGCTGTGGCTCTCCACTGCTGCCTGGGACCGCTCGGAGAGGCGCCCAGCTTCCTTGCCTCCCGGGCACTCCCGGGTCCCTCACAGCCCCTCTCCCCAATTCTTGTTCAAGTAGCTGGAGGCGGGGGAAAAAGGCCAAGCCCCAGATTAGGAGCAGGTCAACTTTAATTCGAGGGTCGACCCCTGTATTCCTGCTGGGGGGGAAAACAAACACCCATATTTATCTCCACTTCCAATTCGCCCCCAGGCTCAGGGATGGGGAGGAGGCGTAGAGAGCGGACTGGGCCAGAGGAACAGATAGGGTGTCCCTGGCCTTTCCTCCTTTCAAGTAAAGCTCCGAGGAAAGGGGAGGGGTAGTGAGGGACTGCCCGAAGTTGAGTGGATCAAGAAGGCTGGACCTGCTTGGCGAAGACCGCGATGTCCTCGTTGAAGGAGTCGGAGGAGCAGACGTCTCCGCCAGCCACTCCAGGTTCCCGGGGAGTGCAGGTCGCCAGCTCGCACTTCTCAAAGACCAGAGCTAACAGAGGAAACAACGGGTGCCTAACGGGCAGCGCCACGCAGAGACACACACACAGAGACGGGGTGCAGAGGGGAAGGAGCAAGAACTGTAATCAACAAGTTTGGAGGGTGTGGAGTCCTTCTTTAATACAACAGGCACGCACCACACTTTACAACCCTTCCTCCATCAGGCGAGCCTAAGCCAGAAACAGAAAGGGAAAAGGGCCTGGCCCTCTCCCGCAGCTCAGAGGTCCCTCAGATCTGGCCAGAGAAGACCCCGGCCACTGCAGCCCGACAAATAAAAACAGCCTCAGTTGGAACGTAATGAAACATCCGAGACGCTCAGGCAGTCTGGAGCCCGAGTCGATTCTGATCCACTCCCCACACTACGGAGGCCGCGGAACCAACCCCTGAGACCCAGCCCTGACCTCCCAAGAAGGGAACACTGTGTGAAATTGAAAAAAAAATAGTTTTAACTCTGCATTTTAATGGGCATTTCAGACGAGGCCAAAGGCTTCACCTACATACACACCGGAGTGACACTTCATAAATGCAAGAGAATGCTCTTTTAATCTCTCCACCTCCTTGCCTTATAAACTTGTTTGCTCCTGTTCTACTAAAGCCACAGTGTGGGGGCCAAAATAATAGGAAGGTTACACACTGGAGAGCTTCCTTCCAAAGACCACATTTCTCCCAGCGTTGCAGCAGACAAAAATAAATAAATCGTGTTTTAAAACTTTAAGTGTGCGTGCGCGTATGCCCTTTGTGTTCCTCCGGGCGGCTTAGCCACACTTCGGGATGCTTGCGGCCTCTGGCTTGGGGCTCAGTTGCTGTTTACCCACTGTCCCCTCCCCTCGGCATCCCGTCGCTTTGCCCACCTACCCTCAGCCGGAAGAGCTCGTGTGGTACACGTTAGGATCGTGCATCTCACCCCTCGCCAAGTGCTCTCAGAATATAAAATAATTTCCAGCCATCTTCCTTACTCCCCCTAAGAGCGGCTCCAAGCAAGCAAGAGTCCCTTCCACCTCGCTGCACTTCGAGGTCTGCCCCCTTTATTTACAGAGAATTAAGAAGTGGGTGATTAGGACTTCCTGGCCGACAGAAGCAGCCCTGATCCCAGCTCAAGCTGCTGTTAGTGACTCCCAGACCCTCAGTAGGAAACAGAAGAAAAAAAAGTAAAAAATAAAAAAACCCAAAGTTGCTTCTCATCGGCAGGAAACTTTCTCCTTCGTCAAGGCCTCTGTTAGGGAGCCTGAAACGAGCAGTCCTGCGTCCTTTGGCCAGGAATCCTGTCCTCGGGGAGAAGGCCCCGGCAAGATTCTGGGGACTCAGTCACTCCAGGCTGTGGGGTCTGGAGTGGTCGGGCTGTGAGAGCGAAAGAGGCTAGTTCTTCGGGGCTTTGACTCCAGGGGCAGAAGAGCAGGCCCCCTCCACGGTCCCTTCCTAAGGCAAGCGGCGCCCGCCCCCCACCATACAGAAGTAACTCCCCACTTAGTCGTCCACCTTCCCACCCCCACAGAGACAAACACACACTCTCACACTCACACACAGTAAGCTGGGTCCGGGGGGTCAGTTTACCCATAGATCGCGTCCTTGTCCCGCTTCAAGGCGTCGTTGACAGCGGATCCCATACTGGCCGGCATGACATTGGGGTGCGGGGCGTGCGCGCCGTAGTGCTGTGTGGCGTGGAGCGGCGGCCCGTGGTTCAGGTGGTGAACCGGGGGGATCGGCCGCGGCGCGTGAGGGTCTCCGTACATGGAAGCGGGAACCCCTACTCCGTCCATCCCGCCGTAATGGGGCAGCTCATCGTACTGTCAGAACCCGGGAAGGGGGAGGGGGCGCAGGAGGTGAGGGAGAACAGAGGAGGGGGGTGGAAAGGGAAAAAGAGCAGGGAGAAGAGGGCGAACAGAAAAGAGAGGAAGGGATAAAGATGAGAGAGAGGGAGGGAGGTAAGAGAGAAGAGAGGAGGAGGAGGAAAAGGAGGAGAGGGGGAGAGAGAGAGAGAGAGAGAGAGAGAGAGAGAGAGAGAGAGAGAGAAAATAAAAATAAAAACAAAGTCAGAAAGGAGAAAAGTACCGAGCACAAGTTGAGCACACAGAAACCAAACCAGCCAAAACAACGGAGTTAAAAGTTGTGAGGAAAAAATGTTATTAAATTTAAAAATGAAAAAGCATGAACCAAGAGCAACGTTTAGAGAAGGAAGAGGAGGCGGCGAGGCCGGGGATTTGAGGGGGCGCCGGGAGGCCCCGCTCCCGCCGGAGGCAACAGAACCGTAGCGAGCCAACGGAGGGAGAAGTGGAGTTAGTGTGAGGAGGAAGCCCCGGATCCCACCCCTAACCCCCCTTCGCCTCCTCTGAGGATCCAATAAATCAAAAGGCGAAATGAAACAAAATAAAGAGAAGAAAAACGCTAATAATCAGCACGAGAACGCCGAGGACTAGGAAAGACTAGGGCCAGTGCCTCCCCGGGGGCAGGGAGCGGAGGGTGGGGGGGCGAATAACGTGAAAGTTACCAGAAACATTATTTAGCAGCGGATTCCCTGCGTCCTTGTCAATTTCAGAGACAAAACAAGCAGCCCAGGCTAGTAGTCTAGGCGGCGGCGCAGCGGCTGCGGCAGCGCGGCCCCAGCGGCGGCCCCGGCGGCGGCTCCTACGCAGCCCGTGCCCGCCCCGAGCCGCGCGAGCCACGGCGGCAGCGGCGCAGCAGCGGCAGCAGGAGAACCGGGGGAATCGCGCTGCTGGGGTAAAAGCTGGAGCGAGGCGAAAGCGTGTAACGATTGCACACGCACACACACACACCACTCACACGCACTCGCCGCCCGCCCGCTCGCACAGCGCTGGAACACGCGCGCCCAGACACGCACACACGCACGCACACACACTCGCACACACGCAGAGGCACGGGAGGGAAAGAAGCCGATGAATAATTTTGCTATTTTTTAAAATACTGGCCGCCATCATCAAGCAGCGAGCAGCAGCAGAAGCGTTGAAGGGAGAGGAGGCATCGGGACAGGCCCCTCTTAGGAGAGGATTTATATCTAGGTAAGTGTTGGAGATTTAAACCTACCCTTTGCGCCATCAGTCTGCGCTCCAATAAACTCCTGGATGTGTCGTATATTTAATATCCCAGTCCGGATAAGAAAGTGATCTAGGCTGAAGATTCCTTTTTTTTTTTTCCAAACCAAAGAGACTTCTCCCAATTCTCCAATATGCTATTTTTTAGGGGGGAAAAAAAGCCCAGTCTAGACAACGAAGAATTTTTTTTTCTGTGATATTTCTTCTTTTTCTCTTTTTTCCTCTTCTTCCTCCTCCTCCTGATCTTCCTCCTCCTCCTCCACCTCCTCCTCCTCCCCCCTCCCCTCCTCCTCCTCTTCGGTCCTCCTTTCCCCCTCTTTCTCTTCTCTTCCCCTCAGTTGGAAAAAAAAAGAAAGAAAAGAAAAAGAAGAAAAAGAAGAAAAAAATTGTCAAGCCCCCGAACTGAAGGTTACGAGCGGCCCGTCAGCAGCCCACATGTAACCGAACTGTCGTGTTTCATGGCTTTTTGCCACTCCAGCTGTCAATCAAAGCCCGGAATGTCAAGGTAGTGAATGAATGATGGTTGATGATGATGAAGAGGAGGAATCTTTCAGACCCGTTTTTTTCTTCCAGTAAAACTCCGCGAGGGGTTTCTGCTTCTTGAATTTTTTCCTCCCCCCTCCCCCCTTTTTTAGCTTTGCCCCCGCGGTATCTATAATACGATCCTCTCTCTTTAAAGTATTGTTCAAAGAAAGCAGTGAGAAAAATCAAGAAAAAAAAATGAATAGTTTGCAAAAATTGGACTTCCTCCCCCCCTTTCCTGGTAGGTATTTTGTCTCTCCCTCTCTCTCTTTCTCGCTCGCTCGCTCGCTCTCACTCGCGCTCGCTCTCTCGCGCTCGCTCTCTCTCGCTCTCTTTCTCTCTCTGGGAGATGAGTGAGTGTCAGTAGGTGTTGGCAGGTTGGCTGCTGCCTGGCTTATTGAAGAGCCTCAGTTTGGCGGCGCGGGTCGGCGGCGGGAGAACGAAATGACGGAACCCGGAAGTCGTGGTGGCCATAGCCCGTCGTACGGCGGAGACACATCCCGGGAGTGGGGAGCGGGAGCGAGGAGGAGCGCGCCGCGCCGAGCCTCTGATATGCAACGAGTGCGATCGGACAGCCCCGGCTGGGGGGGTGGGGGAGGCGGGGGGGCGGGAGGGGGAGGGGAGGCTCGAGCCGGGCGGACCCGAGCAAATCAGCAAGCCTGCTCCTCCACGGGGATGGGGGACGGCGGGGGGGAGGAAAAGGAGAGTGTGTCTGTGTGTGTGAGTGTGTGTGTATGTGTGTGCGTGCGCGCGTGTGTGTTGCGCGCGCGCGCGCGCGAACAGGGAGAGAGGGAGAGGGGGAGAGAGAAGAGGACAGGGAGAGCGCAGAGAGGAAAACTGCAGAAAACCACAGGGAAAGTACGGTACCGCCTCAGATCTTTTCATTTAAAAAAAAAAAAAAACTTACTTCTAGTTCATTTTCCCATCACTCCCGGCTCCTGCCTAACTGGGTCTTGCCGGGGACGTTTGGCATGGCGCTCTAGCTTTTGTTCCTTTTAATTCCGCGGCCTCCCTCTCCTCTGCCCGCCGATTACAGCACCCCGAAGGCTTCCTGCTAACGTCCAAGGGCAGCAAGCTCTGCAGACGGTACCACTGCCGGGCTAAATTTTTTATTAAGTGGCACTTTCTTTTCTGCGCAGATCCAGCAACCTTGTCAATACTCATTTTTTTCCAGGACCAGAAGAGACCAGCTTAACTCAGAGCACACTCCCTCCAAGCGGTGCGGACAAGGGGCCACCCCGAGAGTCTTTGGGGGCCGCGGCGGAATCGGGAGGGAGGAAGTGAGGAGGCAGTCATCTGGGTCCGATGTAGCCAAAGGCGTGTGTGTGTGTGTGTGTGTGTGTGTGTGTGTGTGTGTGTGCGCGCGCGCGCCCGCGCGCCCGTGCGCGCGCGCGACTAGTGTGCGTCTCCAAAGTGGATCTCACTCAGAGCTGGGAAGCACAGGAGGAAAAGACGGAGAGAGTGGGGGAGAAAGAAGTTGCCGGGCGAGGAGGAGTGGCCGGCGCTCACAGCCCAGCTTTGTTGTGGTCGCCCGAGGCGCAGCGGCGGGCCGCGGTAACGCCTGCTAATGGCTGTGTTAATTACACAGGGGCGATTTCGCGGGGTCAGGGAGATGGGGCCAGCTCCGAAAGAACTTTTCCAAAAAGGAAAAGGAAACGAAGGGAACTACCCCACACCGTTTGGGTGGAAACTAGTTGTGGCCGGTGCCCTGTCCTCCCTGGCCCGAGCTGCACCAGGCTTCACCTCTGCGCGGCTGGTTTCCCGGCGGCCGCGCGTCAATCACTACGAGCCCGGAGTTGGGGGCGGAGCCACGGTCACCCCGCGCAAGCCTTGCCGCCCAGCAGCCCCCATGCCCCTCGGCCCCTTGTGGCGCGGCCGGGCGGACAGGCGCTGGAAGCGCGTCCTCTCCCCAACTTCTCGCTCTCGCCCTCCCAGTCCCTGGCCCAGAGAGTGGAAAGCGGACTGTTGTTCTCCAACAGCCGCATCCCTCCCCAACTTTGAACCCATTCTGAGAAGTGGAGAGTAGTGTCTTCCGCGAGCCGCGTCTAACCGACTTTCCCGCGGAGGGAGGGTGGGATGGGGGAGGTTGATTAGAGAGAATAAAGTACTCTGTGTGTGTGTTGTGTGTGAGAGAGAGAGAGAGAGAGCGAGAGAGAGCGGGGAGGAGGGCGGGTGGGAGGGCTCTTTTTTTTGGCCCCCGTTCCATGTTCCCTGCTTCACTGTAAGCTTTCGAGCAACAGAAACTAGGCTAAGATTGCAGCCTGCAGAGACTCCAAGCGGAGTCGGAGAAATTTGGCCTCGTTTTAATAGGGCTGAGGAATGAACTCCGGAGGTCAATAAAGCCCTCCAAAAATGATGAATGATTGAGCACCTGTGATGATGATAGTGATTACCAGAGCAATTAAACAGTTTGATTAAATGAGCCATCATAACAATGATGTCTGCGGGAAATCGGCCCTCACATATAAAGAAAGATAGTGCGAAGGGGCTGGCAGAGGCGCGGATAGCGCGACGCCAGGGAGAGGGGCTGCGGGCCGCGAGGTTTCTGCCCAATGGCCCGAGCAGGGACGGCCAGACTCACGGAGCTTCAGGGAGGAGAGTGTAGCCCAGGTTTTCAGCCACTCTTTTTTGCCGGGCTTCAAGCCTGCTAGAGCCGACGGGTAGGAAATCTGAAGGTTGGGGGGAGGGTACTTCCTCCACGTCCTCTTTTTTTTCCTAGAAGAACTCCAAGATTAAAAGTATCCTTATTTGTTGCTGAGTTGCTCGTCGACATTTAAGAGAAGGTGAGTAAAAAAGAAAAGAAGATGAAAGAGAAAAGAAAAAGTTGGTCTCCAGAATTTTATTTCAATCGACAGTTACGCGAATTCAGTTTAGCCGGGACCGGGAGGTTTGAGAGTGCGGCGGGGTGGGGAGGGGAAAAAAACAAAAACGCTGCGGAGCGTTTTCGACTTTGCAAAGCTGTTGATGTTGGTGGGTCCAAGTTCCCGGTGCAGCGCCGCTGGCTGAGAAATTTGTACTCAGTTTTTACTCTTCTAATTATTCTTAAATTCAATTTAAGAATTTAAGTTTATCGTCGCCAATAGGATTATTGTTGTTTTAAATGTCTTGTTCAATAAGTGCCAGTTACGTTTCTTTTTAAAAGAAATTCCTCAGTGTCCTTGATAAACCTTTTTTTGTAAAGATCAACTTCATGCGGAACCTCTGCCTTGCAGGGTTTAAACATTCAACATTGCTACCTTCTGTTTCTTTTTCTGTTTTTATAGTGATACTGTAAAGTGAGTTAGCATCTCTATAGCTTTCATTTAGAAAAACTTAAGTCGCATTTTTAGAAAAATATTCCTTCCCTTGCAGTGTGAGTAAAAACAACTCAGACAGATTGATGATTTCTATATTTTCTTTTCTTTCTTTATCTTCTTTTTCTTTTTTTCTTTTCTTTTCTTTTTTTTTCTTTTTTTTTGAGACGGAGTCTCGCTTTGTCGCCCAGGCTGGAGTGCAATGGCGCGATCTCGGCTCACTGCAACCTCCGCCTCCCGGGTTCAAGCGATTCTCCTGCCTCAGCCTCTTGAGTAGCTGGGATTACAGGGGCGCGCCACCACGCCCGGCTAATTTTTTGTGTCTTTAATAGAGACGGGGGTTTCACCATATTGGCCAGGCTGGTCTCGAACTCCTGACCTCCTGATCCACCCGCCGCGGCCTCTCAAAGTGCTCGAATTACAGGCGTGAGCCATCGCACCCGGCCGATTTCTATGTTTTCAAACAATTGTAAGCTAATAATGAGTTGATTATCTGGTGATAATCTTGGGTTTTACAAAAAAAGAAAAGTTTAAACTTTATTTTCATGTGTTTTTATCAGATGCAGAAGGCATTTTTAACCTTAACGCCTTTCTCTGTCTCTCTCTTTCATATTCTTAACTTCTTTTGCATTTTATTGAATACATTAAAGCAAACAACAGGAACAATATGGTTAGGTGTAGGAGGGAGAGAGAAATATGACATTTTAAGATATTGTCAAAAAGTCATATTTAACTTCAACGACTTTTAGTTAAAAAAGTGTGAGAGTGTTGAAAGTGCATTCCTACTGGAGGAAATCTATGTCTTTTTAAAATTTGCCAGTTGTCTCAGGGGAGAACCCAGAATTTCTTTGAACGAAAGAGATCTTACTGATCTAGTTGCATGTCACTTATGAAACTGTTAGTTTAAAATAGCAGTCCTAGTGTAGTGGATTACACATGAGGAGATCAAGTTGGAGTCGATTCAAGGTATTGGTTCTTGGTCAGTCTGCTGAATTCAAAACACTATTACCTTTAATCAGCAACTTGCGGGTGTTTTATTAATAGAGCTGAAAAAGGCTCATCTAACATATAAGAATTTCCTGGTTTCCCTCATCCCCAATTTTCCAGTCCAATAGAAGCGATTCCAAAGGAGTAGGGTACCCGCACTTACTGATTTCCATCCTGGTGGCATTTTGCTAATGCCCCATTGTCAGCGTTGGCACTCCCACCCAGGCTTCCAGGCTCATCTGCTCTCCCATATTTGGGGTGAAAGGAAAGTAGGTGGGGCAGGCCCGGGAGACAGGCACGAAATGGGGGTCGCAGGAGGTGGCACACACCTCCGTCAACAGTCAGCTCCTTCTGCCCAGGCTGGAAATGGTTTTAACAGGCGGTAAAATTTCATCTTGCGGTGTCAAATTGGGGTCATTTTGGGGTTAGAGTTCTCAGTGTCCGAGAGGAGCTGTCCAGCTGCGTGGGGACTCATTAACTGCAAAAGATCTGTTTCAGTAAAAACAATTCAAAGACAATCAGAAGGCTAAAGACCCTCTACAAATCGCATTTTACAAGTGCCCCAGAACAAATATGGATGGTGAAACCTATTTCTTCAGAATCCCAAATCAGCTACTTAGCTCTGGAGTGGGGGTGGGGGTACTGCATAAAAAAGAGGTGAAAAGGAGGGGACCAAGCGGGTGGGGACCAGTGGAAGGGGGAATCGGGCCTCTCAAATTTAAGAGTCTGTTTTTAATCACCTCTTTCTTATTGAAGCAGCCCCAAGAGTTCTGAAAACTGCTACTTTTCTATTTTTCATTTTCTTTTTTTGAGCCAACATGGAATGCTATTATAGGTAACATTTAAGATTTAAAAGGAATAATTGAATTCCACTATAGTCCCTTAATTTGAAGGGCATTGGCTTTATGGGGAGTGTTTAATTTGAACCAAGAATTTATGAACCCAGACTCTAGGTGAATTTGCCCACACTCCTTAAGGAGCTTGTGTAGCTGTTTCTTTTTCTTTTCCTTGAAAGTTATAGCTTCTTAGCACAGATAACTTCAAATTCCTCAGAACTGAGAAGTCCAAAGTGTTAATCTGTGTATTAAAATCGCCAGGTTTAAATCCTTTTTGTCTTCTTACAACAGTTAGAACAATTGACGCCTTGCTAGAGAAGCAAATAAGTCCAACCTTAATCTTATCTGTAACTTTATTTAATGTTTTGATTTGGAATATTTTGGATTAAGCATATCTTTAAAAACTCTGTAAGGTTAATTTTTATTCCGGGAGGGAAGTTCTCTTTACTGATTTTGAAAAAAGACATGAATTATTACTTTGATTTTCAAAAATTCCTTCAGGTAAAAGGAAAATTCAGGTTTAAAATGAGAAGCTAGATATGTGAAATGCCAGAGATTTTAGGATAAAACCAAGTCAATACTTAAAAGTAAAGTATCATTTGAAAGAAATTTTATTTCTTGCATTACTGAACTGAGCAAGTAACAGTGATCAAAAATATGTTATTCTCTCTCCATCTCTCTCTCTCTCTGGACTCCACTTCTGTCACTAGGTCTTCTCTTTCCATCCCCAGCACTTTTCTTTGGGTTCTGAATGACACAGTGATTTTTTTTTTTTGTAGTCTAGTTATTTTCTCCAAGCGTCTCAGAGTATTTCTAAATTGTTATTCAAGGAGTTTGATTTCAGCCCTGCAGAAACAGCCCTGAGCCCAGCATCGCTGGGACAAAGGCAGAAGGGGCTATCTTCTGTTCAAGACCTGCTGGCTGACAGTTGGAATTTTTGATATATATTTTATTTGGCGTTTCCAATAACGTGTTTGTCTTTCCCTCTCCACCCCTTGCAGCCATCTATTACTTTTAAAACATCCCTTCTCCATAAACATCGGCTCATCCTTGTGAACTATTCTTGACCTTCCCAGCAGTGTAACCAGCAGCTCTGAAAGTTGGCCTAGAAATAATTCCACTGGCTTCCTTACCTGTTAACTTTACTCACTCTTCCTAGCTGGGATCAACAGAAGGAAGGGGACTTTTTTGTTTGCTTTTGTTGTTGTTGGTGGTGGTGGTGGTGGTGGTGGTGGTTTTTGGTTCTTTGGTCCTTTTCCCACTTAAACTTTCTATAATGATTTATTCTCCGCCTCCTCCCATTAATAACGTTTAAGCACCCCACACTTTATTTTTTAAATAAAATGGAGTAAAATTATTATACTTTTTTCCTTTATGCCCCCTTTTCTTTTATTTCTCCCAATTTTAGGGGCTTCACCATCTCATAGAAAGGACTTCAATAAATAGCCCTCTAGCGCTATCTGGCGGGGCTCCAAACACGACGTGCGCTTGCTCTCACTGTTTCTTCCTCCTTCCCGCGCTCTCTTCTTTCCTCTCTTTCTTCCTCTCTCCTGCTTTTTCTCTCGTCTCTTCCGCTCGATTGTTTTCCTCTTTTTTTCTGTCCTCCTGCGGCCTCTTGTCTAGTTCCTACCCCTACTTCAGCGCAGGCGGCTTGGAAAGCCCCGGCCAGAGGCTAGTAACTCTCGCAAGTGGGAGATGCTCTGGCGACGGATCTCTCTTTTCTGATCCCTCCTCCCCCTTACCCAGCGCGGATCACACACATCCTTTGCCTTTGATTAGCATCTTAAAGTTGCTTAGCGTGCCGCTTAAGTCCCAGCGTCTCAGCTGGCGGTGGTTTGGAGAGGCTTAAAACTGCATTCATGAAGTTTGGAGGAAAGAAATCAGACACTGGAATTCAGGGCTAGGAGCCCAGCTCAGTTTTAGGTCAGAAGGCCGAGTCTCAGTGCGAGATTGAGGAAGGGTCGGGGCTTAACGGGGGAGGTGGGGGTGGCGGGGGGGGGAACAGCACGGCGCGGCGCCTAGCCTGCGAGATGGAGTCGGAGTGGGGGTGCGAGCGGTCCTCCACCGCCTCTGCCCGATCCGTACCTCACAATGGACTGCTCGAGTTTGTATCTAGGCCTGTCCAGGATTGTTTACTCCTTCAATTAATCAGCTTTATCTCTTTTCCCCCTCCCCCCACCTCCACCAAATCTGGAGAGGAGTGGGAAAGAACTGGAAAACTCACAGGGCAAAGAGAGAAAGCCAACAGTCATAGTGCGGGAGGAGGCACGCCTGGGATGCAATACCCAACAGTCTCCTCCCTGCTTTCCTGCAATTTGCAGGTCATTGTCTTTCTTATTTGTAGCTTTTTTTTTTTTTCTTCAGTAGCCGGTAAACAATCGAACGCCGGGTAGGGAGGTCAGAGGGGATGGGGCTGTGGGAGAGATTCTACTCAGGCTAGGTGCTTTAGATTTGGACCTGGCTGTGTCCCTACTTTATTAAAATTCTCATGTGGCGCGCGCTGTCTTCTCTCTTCTCTCTCTCTCTCTCTCACACACACACGCACATACACACACAGCCCGAGAGAAATTTCCAATCTTTGAGCAAATCTCTTCCATCTAGTCCTTGAAACAGAGGAAAGGACATGGGACCTGAAGGAGAGTTATGATTGAATTTTCTAAAATTTAGTTTTGACATTGCAAAGTAAAAGTGAGGACCGTATTCCCAATACAGACCCAGAGGGTGGTTATTTCAGGTGAGGGGACCTCAGCCTGTGACGTCTATGATCAACCAGACAAAGACCCCTTCCTAAATCTGAAGTCCCACCCCCACCCGTGGCAAACATGGAATACAAGGGAGGGGAAGGATGGCACAATAGTGGGTTCTGTTTTCCAAGAACTGCCCCCCACCTCCATTGCAGAAGGAAAAAAAAGCACGGTTCGGGTGTAATTAATTGGGGACTGTTATTAGGTCATCATTAGCCAAGGTACAAATAATAGCAGCACATTTTTACTTAAAATTGACCAGCCCCAGAGTGATAGATCGATTTGGAGTATAAAAAGATGTATCAAAACATCAATGTCGATTATTTGAAATATTGTAGTCGAATTTTTTTTATTGCTTCATCGGTTAAGTGTCTGAAAATGCAGTGTTCAAACATATATTTATGTTGTCAATACTGTCAGAACTGTCAGTTTTACTATACTGGATTTGTACTATATTTCAAATATGCTAATTTACATAAAATGCCCACCCTAGGATTCCCCCCCTACACCCACCCCATCTCTGGAAAATCCGTGTCAGTTTCTTCAAAGGATTCAGCAATCTTTGCCTAAGCTAAAGTGTGCACTACCTCTTTTACTCAATTTTCCACATCGGATTACATGTCTTTTTCACCATCTCTAACTTTCAAAGAGATCCTTCTTCCTTTCTCCCCAATTCTGCCTACTCTAACCTCTTCTTCAAAATAGTACTGAGGCACTTGGAAAGCTTCGAATTTAAATATCCACATCCCAGCTCCAAATATACCATTGGAGTAAAAAAACGGAAAAACTGGACTTGAGTGTACTTGGCCGCACTCGGGTAAACCAGGCTTCACCAGGTAGACGTTCTCATACCGTAAGGGTCCATCATCAAATTACCTGGCAGATTGAAATCTTCCAGGGAAAATGAATTTGGAAATGTAAACACCTTTTCTTTCTTTTTACTTAAAAGCCTCGATGGTAGAAAAAGAAATAATACTTATAAATGATCGGCACGTTTTAACTTTAAAAGCTTTTGAACTCAAGTGAAAGACACACGTTGGAAACAGAATTGATAGTTTTAATTCTACCCATTTTCACCTGGCACATCAGATCAGTGGCAATCATTTATTTTATGGGGTGTGGAGGGGAAAGGGATAGAAAGCGGATAGAAAGCTAGAATCCACTGAAGTCCCTGTCCTAAAAATCTCAGAGAAATTAAAGACTTATTGAAACACAAACATTCCATCGCTCCATACTCTCCGTCCAGATGAATTGAAACTTATAAATCCACGCTCTCCCCAATTTTATGTTTTTTATTTATTTTTTTTCAGGGTTTGATAGGAAAGATACCCAAGTCTGATAGGGAAGACAGGGCCACTTCTGGACTAGCTGTGAGGATGTGTTTTCATTTCCATAACACTGAAGCACTTTCTGTAAACCTTTTGATGTACTTAAATAAGTCTATTTGGACATTTAAAGAAGCTACACATACAAACATAGCTTGGCTTTTTGCCGTCAATCCCAGCATTAAAAAAACATTCATAATCTAACTGAGAAGCTCTTTCATACCCATCCTTCTTTCAAATAAGTAAATAAATAAAGAAATAGAAGTGCAAACCAAAGAAAGTTTCCAGCGTGCATCTGTACGTCTTCGTGTGCGAGTTTATAAACAACTTCCAGTCGGTACTTGGGTGTTACCTCCCTCCTGCCACACACCCCAAGGCAGAGGCATCGAGGGATCGCCCCCAGAGAGCTGTGTTTACTTAGCTTGTTTTAAAAAAAATCTCGCCGCCATGTATGACAAGTGTTACTGCAAGAAATTCATCAGCCTTCTACAGATACTTCCAGTTTTGCTGTAATGATCTGCAGAAGAGAACTGCCATCACTTTCTCACATCCCAAGGTGTTGCAGGAACTCAGAGAGAGGGGAGAGTGGCTGAAACGCTTAATTACCGGAGGCGAAGGAGGGGCGCGCGGGGGACCGAAGGAGAGGGGAGTGAAGAAGGAAGGTCCTTTACCAGGCTTGTACCTGGAGAAAGCTTTGAATCGCTTCTCTGCTATATTTGGAAAAGGTATGCTTGCTTTTTAAAAAAATGCCTTTAGGGCAAAGTGATACCCTTGTGTAATAATTAACTCAGACAATAAAAATAATTGGAAAATCAGTTGGAATTTCTGAGTTTTTAATTACGTTTAATTTCGTACTAAGCCGTAAAATTACGAATGCCCCTCAATTAAACACTCTCCTCTTGTAAAGCGTTTAACAACAATTATTCCTTAATCAGTCTGAATGTGAGTCACAAATGGTGCTTTTCCACATCAAAGAGACGTCCTTCCACGTTACCTTTTAGTCATAAGTAAGAGGATTAATTCCTATAATTAGAGGGATAAATATGTGCATAAATATATCTCTCACCCTCTCCTTAAAAAACAAAACAAAACACTTTCACTCTGTGTGATACGTGGCCGGCTATGGTAGGGTAAGTGTTTGTAATCGTCTGCCTCTGCCCGGCATCCCTTTGCTGACGGGTGACTGGAACGGAGGAGACGCCGCGCGAAGCGCAGGGCCCCAGAGGGACACATGCACAGAGGCGCACACACGGGTCAGGCAGGAGGCGCAGAGTTCGGGGGCCCGGGACTCCACCAATTCCAGTGCGATCCTCCCCAGACAATAACCCACCTCCCACCTTGGCCCTGCCCAGCGCAGCAAGACAGTTGTCTCCCTGTCGGTCTGCTTGTCCAGAAGAGCGGGGTCCCTGCCCTAAGCCCCAGCTCCAGCTTGACTCTTCAGGCTACAAATAAAAATTGAGCGTGACCTTTTAAAACTCCAGTGTGAATATCTCATTTACCTAATGACTTTATGTCACCTAGGAAGAAGGTCAATTTCCTCTTAACCTTTTCCCCGCTGCTGCAGTAAGCATTCTTCCCTAATCAATGGTGGCTGGAATAATCAATTCCCATTTTATGATCGCTGACAAACTCAATCTCAGGGCGGGGTGTGAGAGCTGGGGGTGAGCTGGCTCGGGCCGGGACAGAGGTCTCTCTGCGTACGCCCCGCTCCGCCCGGCGCCAAGGGAAGCCGCTGTCTCTTCCGTCGAGTTCTGAGACCTTGGCAAACTTCCCTCCCCCAACCGCCGGCGTGACTTCTGAGTTGTCACTAATCCGAACCTGATATTCACCAGAGCTCCTTCGGTCACCGACAACGCTCCCCGCTGCTGCCGCGGCCTCCCGCCCGCCCTCCTCGGCGTGTTTTCATTTCTAAGTCTACGGGCAGGGATTGCCCCGACCCAGTGTGTGTGTGCGTGTGTGTGTGTGCGTGGTTTCATTTACATTTTAAAAATCATTTTTGCGTTCTTCAGCGTGGATCTCAGCACTTTCCCTGTGTCTCAGGCCGACTAACTTTGCATAAACAAAGCAACAACCGAAGCTCATAGTGGGTGAAATCTTGCGGGGAAATGAAGGCAACCTGGTGGAGTTCGATCTCTCTCTCTCTCTCTCTCTCTCTCTCTCTCTCTCTCTCCCTCTCTCTCTCTCCCTCCTCTCTCTCTCCCTTCCCCACATTTCTTCCTCTTCTTTTACCTTCTTCCTCCACTCCCCCCTCCACCCCAAATTCAGCTATCCTAAACCATAGGTTTATCAGATACCACTTCCTCCTCTTTTTAAATTCTTCAGACCTGCCCCAGTCTGGGGAAATTACTGGGCAAATTACTAGATCAGAGCTATTTTGAAAGCTAATTTGGGGTAAACTCACCGTTCCTTATCTTTGCAGGGTTTAAATATGAGCCGCTCTCTGGTTCTAATCCCTCATAAAGTAGAAATTGACTTTTACACATGCAGGGCCTATTTGAAGGGGGGAGGTCTCTTAACACTGGTTCACCACGGGTCACTGGAAACTTCTCCCCCTTATTCCACCCTAATCCCGTTTTCACTCACTACCAAGACACTGAAGCCGCTGATGATTAAAGCAATCTCAAAAGTCTTGCTTAGCTAGGGTTCAATGGCAGGGAAATCATTTTCCTCAAAAAAAGACGTTCTGTAGCCAGGTTTTTGAAGATTTCCTATGAAGAGTCAATCTCTCAATACTGTATTACCCAGTTAGTTAAAAGGGAACCCCAAACTGAACTTTCTCTCCCAGAGCGCACTCTCAGGCCTGCCTTGCCTATGGGGATAATCTTTAAAAAGGTAATCAAACCATTCCTTTTCTTCATTCACAGATCCTCTTTACTTGTAGGCAGACATTCTGCTAAAATCGGAAAGTTTTCCAAATAATCAAAAACAAACATATAACTCTTCCACTTTTTATCCTTCACTCTGGTGTAAAAAGCAAACAAACAAAAAGGGCCTTTGAGTTCGAGGGGAGGGATATCTGGGCCACTGTTCACCCATGAAAGCTTCCTACATCCTGTTAGTAATGAAGATGGCAAATCATGGCACTTGCCTGAAACTTTCAGGTTCCATTCTTGCATTGAGCCTCAAGGTGCTAGAGTGTGAGGGGCAGTGAGAACATGCCAGGTTCAGGACCTGACCTGGGACAGAAGCACTGAGTTCTCAGTATTGTCATTTTCCTCTTGCTTCATACCAGGAAGTAGTTTTGCAACTCACACTGAGTTAGATTCGAGATTTAAACGGTTGTCGAAGGTTGGTCCAGCCCTGAGTCACAATTTATAACACCCTGGCTTTTAGAAGATTTGCCTCATATTCCCAACAACTGAGTTACAGACCATCTTAGACTACAACCTGTTTGTAGGCCAAAAAGTGCTTGTACATACAGGAAGAGTTTCCCATTACTAAGAGTACTGAATGGGTTTTTTAAATCTCTATTTGACAGAGGAGCAGACAGATTGGGGATAGGGCCCTTGACCTCAGATAATTACTTCAGTCGTCCCTCTTCAGCAAATTTAATTCTCACGCAAAGAGTAATTAACAACCTCTGACTATTCTATGAGAATTTCCTTTCCTTTTCTTATCTTAAGGACCCTCATAGGAATATTGAAGAATATGTTTAATGGTAGTTTTTAGTTTCACTGCATTTAAACATTTTGCCTTCTGCTCACTTCTTCCATAGTCTACTGGAACACATTTAACAGAGTCTTGGGCTGTGTTCTGACTCCAGCACATGAAATTGGAAAATCCAGTCATCAATTTACTGCCCTTCCTACTCTCCACCTTGACCCCAAGCAAAGCTATTCACTAGACAACTCTTCGTCAATGGAAAATTCCTTAAGTTTGCTTAATGAGGAGAGAATGTCAGAAGAAAGAAAAAATTTTAATAGTAAAAAATGCCATTCTCTCCTTTTGACTGCCTGACAACTTTGTCTCTACAAGTGTCTCATTCAGGGTTACAAATCAAAATTACATGTCAGGATACAAGCCACAGTATTGGAACAGGAAGAATGAGCACACAGACCACTAGCTTTTCAAAGGCGACTGAGGTCTCTGCAAGGCTCATGTCCTAAATGGAGAGACATCTTATTCAAACATCTCTAAGGGAGAGGGTTGAATCAGATCACTTCTGAGGCTGTTTTTAACCCTAGAAAGACAAAAAGGGACTCCAAGGGCTAAAAAGCCATCAAGAGCTCAGGCTCTGGAGTCTGACGGGAAGGGGCTGAATACTAGGTCTGGCCTGTGCTGATTGTGAACTCTTAGTAGTCACCTGACTCCTCTAAACTCTACTAACCTCATGCATAAACTCAGCATAACAATGGTTGATATTACTGGACACATTTGTCAGCCCCTGCAGGTCCACCCTTTACTTTCCCCCTCCTGGTTTGTGCCCCTGAAGGCTGGTACGGATGGTTTTAGAATGGCCCTTGTTTCCTCTTGGGCTTGCCTAGAGTGGGCAGAGCGAGGTCTGGGTGCTGATTCCCAGGGTCCCTGAGGGCTGGCTGCATTCCAGCCACAGCTCAAGCAGTCTTCTTCCCAGAGTTCCATTTCTGGATTTAGGTAACAATGTCCTTCTCCAGTACTAGCCTTGGGGCAGTGTACTGTCCCTCGTGGTTTCCTAACACCCTGCTCACACCTTTTTAATAAAGTTCCTTTATTAAGCTCTCCTCAAATTACCCAATTTGATGTGTACCATCTGTTTCCTGCTGGACCTTGACTGATACACCTTATAAACGTGTTTAGAGGATTAAAATTAAATGAGATAATGCATGTAAAGCACATAGTGCAGTTCTTTGCATATAGTAAAAGCTTAATAAATAGAGCTTTTATTTATTTTTACAATTATCATTTTGTGCAACCCTTTCATTTTATATAGGAGGAAATGGAAACTCAGAACTGTTAGGAGAAGCATTCAAAGTCTAATTAACTGAAGGTAGTAACAATCCTGGGACCAAATCCCTGAACTGCCTGCTTGAAGTTCATTGTTCTTCCCTCTGCATCTTGTTGAGCAAAACAGATGAGAAAGGAGGGAACTCTTATTTTCATAGATGTTGGAAAAAGGGTTAGACGAGCTAGAGGCAGAGGTGTAGGAGGTAATAAGCATTTTCCATGTATCATTGGGCTTGTCCCTGCTAAATTACTGCTGAAATAAAGGAATGCCATTGCAATTTAGAATCCAGTGATTTCAATAACAATAAAATGGGTATGTAACAGGGGGCGCAATGTATGCTTGACAGGTTAAAAACAAATTTATGAACATATAATTTGAAGTTTTATCAGGAGGCATAATAATGTTTTAAGACTATATAGGGTACACTGAAATTAATTTTTAAATAAAGGCTGATTTTTGGATTAGCAGTGTAGAAGTATGAGCTTTATAATTCTTTAAAATATAATACTCTGCTGTGAACTCATATAGAACCAGAACACTGAATCCTGAGCCAGAGATGTTCTGTAATGTAATAGCATTAATAACTGGATAGAAAATATTCAATCACTAATTCCTACATCCATTCAGTCGTTCAAATAGATATTCATTAAGCTTGCAATATTCTCTAGGTGCTTTTATGAGTGTTGACATATAAAGATTAATTAAATATATTCTCAGCTTCAATGGGTTTTTAGAGGAAAACAGAGGCAGGCGTATAAAAAGATTTTGGTATGAACAAAAGTAGAAATATACCTAGGCTACTATGGGAGACTTAAAGAGATTGAGTGGGGTACGGGGAATTGAGAGTAGAAGAGGCTTTCTTAGGTCAGAACTAAGTCTTTGCAAGAGTCATGTGTTTCATTTCAATTACATTTTAGCCTTCTATATTCTTCCAAATTATCAATGATACTAATGAATTAAGATTTAGCTTTTATTAGTATATACATTAGTAATAAAACCAAAAAAGCACATACAATATTGCATTACTTTTTACTGTAGGAGGTTGGCTGAGGTATATGTGGAAACAGAAACATTTAAATAAATTTTCCCTTGGTGACTAGAGTGTATGATAAGAAAAGTAGAATAAACTTCAAAGGTGATATTATACAGAGACTCACTTGAAAAATGCCATCTTCAGAGATTTCATTCATGTACTTTACCAATTGTGTCTTATTTGTATAATGAATTGGACCAGGCTTATTTGAGATATAGATATACAGTTTGAAAACTAAGTCGGAACGTATTTGTGAAGAAGAAACATGAAGTAGGGCCATTTGTTTTAGGACCTAGGATGCATTCATATACAATTGAACATACTAATAAATAGAACACAATTTAAGCAGGTTATTTGTTTTTACACAGTCTTTACAAAATTGGTTATTTCTCTCTCAACGTTAATTGATGCCTAAGTATAATTTACCATGGTAATGCTGCTAAATATTTGTGAATCTTTGTTGAAGTTCAAACTACAAAATTACATTATCTTGGCTAATTCTCATTCAGGTTGCTCTTGTCCACTTACCCTGATCATCCCCACTTGGTCCACTGTTTTCTTGTCCACCTCATATCCCCAAATCCATTCCCACTCACATTGTGTGTGTGTGTGCACGTGTGTGTGTGTATGCACACGTATATGTCCGTTTTAGCCACCCACATCTATGGCTACAATGTGGAACTGAAAATTACTTTCAACAGCTCAAATGTAGAGATTCAGTTTTTTTAAACCCACTATATTACCCTCTGTTAAATACAAAGGATTCTTTCTTCCTTGTGGCCCTTATTGTGTTTTCTGGTTTCTTGATTATTTTCTGCCAATTCATTAGTCATATCCTGATTTTCTTGATCTTCAACCCACTTTAATAAATGTATTAAACTGTAAACTAATACAATTAATACATGTATCTTTTAATTTGCTTTCCTGTTTTCAAAGTAGTACATATTTACTAAAGACAATGTAGCAGGCCGGGCACAGTGGCTCACGCCTGTAATCCCAGCACTTTAGGAGGCCAAGGCAGGCAGATCACAATGTCAGGAGATCGAGACCATCCTGGCTAACACGGTGAAACCCTGTCTCTACTAAAAATACAAAAATTAGCTGGGTGTGGTGGCGGGCGCCTGTAGTCCCAGCTTCTCAGGAGGCTAAGGTAAGGCAGGAGAATGGCGTGAACCCGGGAGGCAGAGGTTGCAGTGAGCTGAGATCGCGCCACTGCACTACAGACTGGGCAACAGAGTGAGACTCCATCTCAAAAAAAAAAGACAATGTAGCAATGCAGAAAAGATAAAAGGAAAGAAATGACCAATGAGCAAAGTATCCAAATGCAATTGCTGCCAAAATTTTAGTGTATTTTGTGTATTTTTTTAATGCATAATTTCTTACATGTAGTTGTAATTGCACTTTGCATACAATTTGCTCAAGTATTCAAATTCCTTATGACTCTATTTAAATAGATGTCATCAATGAAGTAAAATGGTTTACTTTTTCATTCCACTGTTACTGGGTACTAAGTTTATTTATACATAGTTTTCATTTTTATATGTAATTCTGTAATGAGCATCTTTGGGTATGAAAGTTTTTCAGAATTCAGGATGATTTCTTAGAATGGATCCCTGAAAATAGACCAGAGGATATGAACATATTTAAGTGTGCATCCCAAGGCCTCTCTCACTTTTGAACTTTCTGTCATGACAAAAATTCCTTCCTTTTCATTTTTTGGCTTTCTTCCCCTAGGGTAACCATAATTCTGAATTTTTGGTTAATAGTTTTGCTATGTGTGCATTCCTGAACCATATATATTTAATATAAATTATATGTGATACAATGTTATTGTATATATTATTAATATATTAACCTCTCTCTATATATACACAGTCATGACAATCTCCATATTAATCCCCAGTCATTTTTGGTTCCTCTTGAATAGTCCATTTTTGAGGGAAGAAGTCCTCAGAGTGTGCAGTTCACATCTATGCTCTAAATTCAGTTGTCCTCCTGAAACAATCCATTTTCTGTGGAGACTCATTTCTTTGACAATAACTCATTCTCTTTTCCCCTGCTCTCCCACTGTCCCTCTCTCTATCCATACTTTTCCTTTCCTTTCCTCCTTTCTTCCTTTCTCTATGACACACTCAGTAGCCCCTAACTACTCTCATTCCTCTTGTTCTCAGATGACTTCACTTCTTGCTCTACTGAAACCAAGGATTTCTGATTTGAGTTTTTTCTAATATTCTCTTATTTCCATCTGTTATTTCCCATCCTTTTAGTCGTAACATTACTCTGATTAAAAAATGATCACTTATTATTTTCTTACTTTTATTTTTAGTAAAACATGTGTTATATTCAAAAGCATACATATAACTACTTAAATGTTACAATGTTTAATAATAAAAGAAACATTTATAAACTAGCCACCAAATTTAAGCAGGGAAACATTGCCTGTACTCATGTGTTCCTTCCTTTTCATTTTTTGGCTTTCCTCCTAGGGTAACTACCATCCTGAATTTTTTGTTAATAGTTTTTCTATGTGTGCATTCCTGAACTATATGTACTTAATATAAATTATGTGCAATAAAATGATATTGTATATATTATTAATATATTAACCTTTCTGTATACATCTATATTTGTATTGTATGTATACATATTCCTAAACAATATATTGTTTCATCTTGCTTTTTTTTTTGTAAAAATAGTATCACACTCAAGTTACTTTTTCTGGGTTCCTTTTTTCTTTCAATGTTGCATTTTTAAGATTCTTTTTTGTGTGTATAGTGATAGTTCACTCTTTTTCTTTTAAATGTCTGCTTGATTTTCCATCCTGTAATTATAATACAATTTATTTGTCATTACCTCCTGGGTTGTTGTCATTTTTTGTTGTTACTAAAAAGAGTTCTGCAATAAGCATTCTGGTATGTATCTCTTGATGCTCCTGTACAAAGATTTTTCTAGATTTAGAGTATCAATATAAGAGTACATTTTCCAATGTTTTGGTATTCAAATGCTCAACTTTCCAAGATAATGTGAATTATTTTCCAGAGCGATTGCACTGACTTACACTCTTGCTAGTAGTACAGAAGACATCTTGTTGATCTACAACCCTTTCTCCTAACACTTGGTAATGTTTGACTTCTTTTTCTTTTTGCCAAGCTAATCTGGTGAGTGTAAAAAGGTATCTCACTGTGGCTTTGAATGTGCATTTTCTAAATCACTAATAAGGCTGAACATCTAATATGCTTTTTCTTTATTTATATTTCCTCTTTTGTGAAATACCTGTTTATTATGTATTTCTCCCATTTTTATATTGAGTTTTTTAATTATTAATTTTATAAATTCCATATTGCAAACATCTTATTCCAATTTGTGGCTTTTAATTTTATTTGACATGTGTTTTGATACACGGGAGTTTTAAATTTTACTGTAATTTAATTTATCAATATTTTCTTTTATGACATGCTTTTTGTGTCTTGTATAAAAAATATTTTGCATTCTGAACTTAAAAAAATGTTCTATAAAATTTATTAACAAATTTGATTGTCTTTTCTTTTTATACTTAATTCTTTAACAACAGGGAATTGAATTTTGTGTGTAGAAGTGAGGTAAGAATCCCTTTCATTTTCACTGTATGGATAACCAGTGTACCAACTCCACCAACTCCATTGCTTTCCAAGTATCTTCAGCCTGCCTGTCTCGTATATCAATTTATCTACAAATTCTTTGGGCCTTCAATGTAGATACTAGATAATAATATAGTCTACAGAAAATGACAGTTTTATTTCTTCCTTTCCAATCCTATTACTTTCTTTCTTTTTTGCTTTTTTTTTTTTAGTTTATTTTTGTTTATTTTTGTTTGTTTGTTTTTGTTTTGAGACAGGCTATTGCTCTGTCACTGAGACTGGAGTGCAGTGGCACAATTTCTGCTTACTTGAGTCTCGACCTCTTGGGCTCAAGTAATCCTCCCACCTCATCCTCCTGAGTAACTGGGACTACAGGTGCATGCCACCATGCCCAACTAATTTTGTTTATTTTTGGTAGAGCTGAGGTTTCACCATGTTGTCCAGGCTGGTCTGGAACTCCTGAGCTCAAGCGATCCACCCGCCCTGGCCTCCCAAAGTGCTGAGATTACAGGTTTGAGCCACTGTGCCCAACCCTCCTTTTCGTTTCTCCTTTCTTTCTTCCTTCCCCAACCCCCCTTTTTTCTTTCTTTCTTTTTTTTTGAGAGAGGGGTGTGGTCTTATTGCCCTATCTGGGACCAGATCTCCAGGACAATGTCAAACCAAAGCATTTCTAAATAGCGGACATCCTTATCTTATTATTAATTTGAAATTCTTGTTTATAGCCTTTCTCCATTAAGAAAGTTATTTACTGCAGTTAATTGATAATAAACTTTATCAGATGAAGGAAGCTGTTTTCCTCCATGCCTAGTTCACCAAGAATTTAAAAAATTTAGTGTTAAGTTTTGTTAAATGATTTTTCTATATGTAATAAATATTTTTTCTCCTTTACTCTGTTACTGTTATTTTATTTATAAACTTTCTAATATTAAACTATTCTTATGGTTTTGGTTATATTGAAGTGTATAATACTACACAGCCAGGTTTAGGTTAATAATATTTGCTTAAGATTTTTAAATTTCTATTGATGTGAGATAACGAACAATCATTTTTCTTTTTTCTTTAAATTTTAAAAAATCTTCTTTGCCTGGCCGGTCGCGGCGGCTCACGCCTGTAATCCCAGCACTTTGGGAGGCCGAGGCGGGCGGATCATGAGGTCAAGAGATCGAGACCATCCTGGCTAAAACGGTGAAACCCTGTCTCTACTAAAAATACAAAAAATTAGTTGGGCATGGTGGCGGGCGCCTGTAGTCCCAGCTACTCGGGAGGCTGAGGCAGGAGAATGGCGTGAACCCGGGAGGCGGAGCTTGAGGTGAGCGGAGATCGTGCCACTGCACTCCAGCCTGGGTGACAGAGCGAGACCCTGTCTCAAACACACACACACACACACACACACACAAATCTTCTTTGCCTAATATTGGTAACATTTGATTGGAGTTAGGGAGAGTTTCCTCCCATTTCTATTCTCTAGATAACTTAATATGTGATTGAAATTATGTTTCTTAAAAATTATGTAAAGTTAACTTTTTTAAAATAATATTGGCCTTCTTTTACAAAAAACGATTCTTAACTACAGATTCAATTTATTTAATTGAATAAAACTAATAAAATAATCACTAGAAATTATTTTATTAGTTTTGGTCTCAGACTCCTGAGCTCAAGTGATCCACCCACCTCGGCTTCCCAAAGTGCTGGGATTACAGGCGTGAGCCACCACACCCAGACAGTGTCATTGAAGTTTTTAAACTTATTGCATACTGGTAGGCAATAAATTTAAATTAGATTCTGCTGTGCTTTTTTTTTCCCCCCACACTTCCTAAGTTGAATCCTTAGGTGGCCCTAACGAATACTAGAAGAAGAGCGAAGATGTCATGGAAAGGATACTTGGATACAATCTCATTTGTCCCTTTCCTGTTGGTCAATAATCCCAGGGACTCTAGATGTTTTTTTCACTTATGATTGGTTTGCAGCTAATTTTGAAATATTTCTGAAAATGAAGTCTAATGAAATCTCTTTAAGGATCCTATTTCAACTGTGAATTAAACAAAAACTTTTAAGTTAGAGATACCCATCCACTGTGGGGAAGTCAGAATTTTTATTTTGAATCAGTTGATTTCTAAATACCAGTTATTATTGTTTTTTACTCTGTGTTTCTGTGTGTGTGAGAGACTATTGTGTGTGAGAGACTATGATTTATGAAATTCACATATATGAGTAAGATTGACAGAGTATGGATTCATGAAAAGTATGTGTTTTAACAGAGTATGGATTCATGAAAAGTATGTGTTTTATGGCATTTGAAATATATGGGCTTTTTGGTACTGGTAGTAGCATTTGGTAGTTCTAGATTTTTGAAAATCTTCTGTAAAAAATCCATAGATTTATAGTTAGCCACGGTGTCTCCATTGTTGGTTTCAAGTATTGATATTTGCTGGACTGCAGGATGGATAGAGGAGCTCCTCCTTCAGTGGGCTATGAATGTCCTCCATGTAACAAGTGCAAGACCACAGTCACAATGGCCCTCAACACCAGTTGATCAAGTCTCAGTTTAGGAGGACCAATAAGAAAACCACATATTTTTGCTACTTTTATTCCAGTTTTCAGCAACACCGAAAAGGACATATTTTAACATGCTGTAAAGAAATCTTCAGCAAAATAGGTAGTGACTTGACCTTCTATATCTTAAAATACATAGTTTTAAAAAATAACCATAAAGCTGAGATATGATAAAGTTAGATTCTCATGAAAATAAGTTAAGCAACAAAGGGTCACCCCACAGGTTAAATTTAGTAATTTATTTACCCATACATCTTTTAAGAGCCACTTTTCCTGAGAGGCATGGTGGTGTAGTAGCAGTGATGCTGGCTAGGGAATCAGATGACTTGCTTCCAAGCAGCGTGACCCTAGGCATGTCTCTGGCATTATCTGTGGCTGGTTCTTTAGATAATATCTAAAGATGTCTCCAGATCTGTGGTTCCATATATTTTAGAGCAATACACAATTACCTGGCTTCTTTTCTCACTGCTTATTCAAAGGAACACTAGAACTATAATCATGAGAGCTCCTGATAAGATTTAAATCATGGATAGCTGGAGGCAGATGGGGTGGGAAGGGGGTAGAGAAAGACCAAACTGATCTGGGACCATGAAAAGTGCATTGTTAGATTTTTAGCTGAGAATTGCTTCTTTTGATCATATAACCTATTATTCAGGTTCCTAAGAGATAAAGCAAACTAGATCTGTCCTTATATAGATAAAAAAAAGAAGCGTAAAGACACCAGCTTATTTTTAGGTTATGTATATCAAATTAAACTGGTCAGCTAGAAATAGGAACAAAAGAATCGTAAACCAAATCATAAAATAAGTTTTACTTAGATTCATGCCATTGGATTAGATGCATGTGTTGCCATTCTACTTTAGGTTGTGATTTTCCAGGACGTGAAGAATGTAAAATTCAGAGTACATTTTGAGCGCTAAAATTCTGTAAACTGCGGATCTGAAATGAGGTTACAAAAGCAAGACAGGGGTGCCCTTGCTTTGAATTCTATTTCTACAAAAGCAAAAAGAGATGGCCGGGCGCGGTGGCTCACACCTGTAATCCCAGCAGTTTAGGAGGCCGAGGTGGGTGGATCACCTGAGGTCAGGAGTTTGAGACCAGCCTGACCAACATGGAGAAACCCCATCTCTACTAAAAATACAAAAAATTAGCCTGGCGTGGCAGTGCCTGCCTGTAATCTCAGCTACTTGGGAGACTGAGGCAGGAGAATTGCTTGAACCCGGGAGGCAGACGTTGTGGTGAGCTGGGATCGTGCCATTGCACTCCAGCCTGGGCAACAAGAGCGAAACTCCATCTCAAAAAAAAAAAAAAAAAAAAAGGCAAAAAGAGCTGCTGGTTATTTAGGAGACTGGAGTAATCTTGGAAGATGTGCTCTGAATCTTTTTTCTATTTTCAGAAAGACAGACACATTGTGGAGATGTGGCTGGGCTACTGACTTAGAAAAGGCAGGAGGAGTTACAACATGTTTATATGCTCCTGTAAACTCCGGCACTGGACTGCTCTTTAGCCTGCCTCCCTGAATCAGTTAGAATGTTTTTGGCTGCAAGTAACAGAAAACCCAATTCTAAGTGGCTTAAGCAATAAGGGAATAAAGTTATGCCATTGGCAAGAGGTGGGGCAAGCTCCATCTCTCATTCCCTTCAATTTTCTTGGCTCTGCCATCTTATGTGTATCAGCTTTATCCTCAGGCTGGCAGCCAGATGGCTGCAGCAGCTCTGAGCCTCTTATCTTCCCACAACCACACTGAGAGGAAGAGTGCCTGTTTCTCTTTCTCTGGATGCTGTTGTGGGAAGATGTGTGAAAAAAAAATTGAGAAGACCCCAGCAAACTTTCCCTCATACCTCATTTGAATGACTTTTTGGAAGGCTTAACCATGGATCCTGAGCCAATCATTGATTAGACCTAGCCCTAGAGTTGGGAACAAATGCTTTAACTGTTATGCTGATATACAGTGGAGGAAATACGGAATAGATTTTGAGAAGACAAAGTTTGCTTACTTTAAAGTATAATTGATGAGAAACTAGGTACAACTCTGGCAAAAATTGGGCTATGGAAATAGCAGCTCCATATTGAGTATTGTCTAACTGCCAGCTAGTATGCTGAGCATTGCATTTGAATAATCTCATTTAATTCTCATAACAATATGAAGTAGGCACAATCATTATTAGTGGGACATCCCTGTTTCCTAGATGAGGAAATTAAGGTTCTTAGGGATTCAGGAAATTTACTATGGTTTACAAAGCAAGTTAGTAGTAGGATTAAGGAACATAATGCTAAAACCCTTGTTCCTAAGAGTTTTCTATCTCCCAGGGAGGAGTCCTCTGATTCATGGGTCAAAAATCAGCATGTAACAAATTGGTTAGTTACGTGCATAAAAATAGCATCCTGTAAAGGGGTTTACCTGATAGATAGCTTTGGGTAGCATACTATGGGGCCCAGTGAATCTGTGATGTTTGGTTTTCAAAATTGAGGAAATAATAATGATATCAACAGTCATGAAGAAAATGATAAATTTGGGAAAACATGAACTCTTTTAGACAGAGTATGTTTGTTTAAACACATCAATAATAAAATATGACAGCAAAACGTTTTTGTTTAAAATAAAAATATTTGCTTTCTAAATAAAAAATAACTACAAAAAGGTTAGATAGCAATTTAGTAGCATTTGGAAGGAGATCATATCACCTGACGGATTATCTACAATTGAGCTATTATGAGAAATTTGTAAAAAAGAAACATGTTGTTGGCTAGATGGGATGAACTGGGACCTGTGTTTATTTTTTTGTGTAGAATAATTTAGTAAATTTTGGGACAACTTTATCATGCAATGGAAGGCAATAGGTGACCAGTGATTTCTCTACAGCTTAAAACAAAGTTTAAAAATTGAGCATGAAGAAAAGTAAGGAAATCTGCAACTATCGTATTGTAAATGCCATGAAGTATTTTTCTATTTTAGCTGCTGGCATGAAACATAAATATTTGAAAAAATTTTTTGGCAAGGTAGGGCAGTTAATTGTTTGGATTTTCTTGGAAATCACAGTTGAGTCCAGAAATCAATTACAAAAGTGGTGTGCTTTGCTCCATTTTTTTTTTTATAACAACACTTTTCATTTGTTTCTGAACAGGTTTTGCAAGAAATCCATTCTATAGGCAGATGGCTCCCTGCTCTGCTGTTTTGGAGCTTCAATCACTAGTGACATGCCTGCAATCCACAAAGTCCTGGGTGTCTCCTTTAGCTATCATCATCTGAAAGACATCTAAAAGGGTTTTTTAGTGCTTGAGAGAATTAGGTTTCATTTCTGGCATTCCACAATGTAAGTGGAAAAGTTGATCCACACTGACATGAAGGGCTCAATTCTGCATGAACTTTTTGTTTTTCCACCAGAAATAATCCTTTCCTTTTTTTCTTTTTTTGTGTAAGGCTCAAGTTCATTTAAAACTTGTTGACTCTTTCCTAGAGACATATAGCTGAGCAAACTAAATCCGTCCCACTGAAACTGACATCTATTAGCAAAAGGATGATTATTTTTAATACTAGAGACATGTTTACAGAATGACTGAACTTGCTAAGCGGCAAAATACAGAGTGCACTGAGACCAAGAAAAGTCAATCATCAACCACTCCTGTTGTTTTAAAATAGACTTAATATGCTTTTAAAAGAGTATTATTTCAATAAAATAATCCACAAATAAATACAAAACAAAAGGGCAAATGTAGAGACATATTGCAAGTAAGCATGCATACCAAAAAGGTAAGTGCAAATTAGATTTGAATATTCATGAGTCACAAATCATTGACAGTTTGAAATAATGCAAAACAGCTTTATAAATGAGGTTAAGGCAAGGGACATCAAAGAAATGCATCGTTAAATCAATAGCAGTTTGTGCATATACTTGTAAATTGCGGTTACAAGTTTTGTGACATGGGAGAAAAAATACTGTGTATCTGATGGAGGAAGACACATAAATATTCCTTTTGTATATTGTATTTTTGCAATTCGTCATGTACTTGGAGCCCAGCCAGGTAGAGAGTGGTTGGACATCATATTCCCTCACCAAGACAGAGTTTTCTTTTCAGAGACAGAGTGTCAGGCCTATGCCTGAAGAGCGCTTGCTTGCTCTGCTAAACAATTCAACATGCAGTGACTTCTGTAGAGTTGCTTTCCAAAATAAAGATTAGCATCTAGCACACATGACTTTAGAGGCTGGTCAACTTTAAATCTCTTCACAGTAAAATAACTTCAATTGTAGAGCATACTGTCTAGTGGTTGTTTTCCTATTTGGCAGGGAGCAGATGAATTCAAAGTATAAGAACAATTTGTAAAAATACTTTGGAATGATTAGAGATGTGTAGCCATTACTTTTAAAGGCAAAAACTGCAACTTTGCACCAACCTAATACCTTATAGGTAACCTTGTAATTTAAATAAAAACATTTTTATTTTTGTTCAGCAAGTAACTATTAATTTGATGCAGATCTTTTTTGTACCAGTGGCTTTTTGGTGTGTGTGTATGTGTGTGTGTGTGTGTGCATGCACGCGTTGCATACGCATGCAGTGTGCGTAAGAAGAGTTGTTTGAAATGATAGGACTTACAGATCAAAAACTTGTTTAGGACTTACCTTAAAGCAGAATCATTTCCAACTGATTTTTTCTCATAAGTTTATATTTGGGTTACTATCTTTAAGTTATGATGTATTTCTTCATGATACTACTCTGCAAGCCTCTTTATTGCTTTCTGTCTGCTTTTTTTGATGACTGAAGCTAGAGACATCACATGAAAATCATGGCATACAGTAGCACTAATTTTTGGAAGAGGCTGGGGAATTGTGGTCTGTTTAGAAAATTAATCTATATCTTCTGGCTAGACCATGTTTCACAACAGACATTTAGATTTGGGAAGTGAAATGCAGATGAGGCATAACCAGAAAGAGAGGCCTCTGTACTGTTGCCAATTTCCTACTCCACTAGGAAAGAAGCTAAGATGACTTTTGTATGGTTAATAATCAAGAATATCCATGATTTCCAAAAGCTATGGCCTTGAATTTTTTTTTTTTTTTTTTTTTTGAGATGGAGTCTCGCTGTGTCACCCAGGCTGGAGTGCAGTGGTGTGATCTCGGCTCACTGCAAGCTCCGCCTCCCGGGTTCATGCCATTCTCCTGCCTCAGCCTCCCGAGTAGCTGGGACTACAGGCACCCGCCACCATGCCCGGCTAATTTTTTTTATTTTTAGTAGAGACAGTGTTTCACCGTGTTAGCCAGGATGGTCTCGATCTCCTGACCTCGTGATCTGCCCGCCTAGGCCTCCCAAAGTGCTGGGATTACAGGTGTGAGCCACCGCGCCTGGCCGGCCTTGATATTTTTTAAAGGTCTTTATGTGATGTCTGCAATTATAATTTTTCAGTATTGATTCAGGGCACATTTAGCATTATATTTGTAAGCCATATATTGTTATATTTGTCCTATAGCTAAACATTTCTTGACTGTCAAAAGTTATTAACTCATTTGATCTTAGGAAGTATTTCTATTATTCCTTTCAATAAATGCTTTGTCATGATATAGTATCAGACTATTTAAGTTATCCAAACTTCTTTTATTAATTGATTAGCCACAATATTTGATTTAATGATTACCAGTTGTAGGGGTCTATACTGGCAAACACTATTGTTTTTTTTTCTCTAACTAAATTTATTTCCATTAAGTCATAGTTACTAAACTTTCTTGACGAGGAGGATAATTTACAACAGCTATATACTTGATGATTTTGATTAAGTCTTTCTATGTATGTGTGTGTTAATATATGGTTGGTTTTTTTTTTTCTTTTTTTGAGACGGAGTCTCCCTCTGTCCCAGGCTGGAGTGCACTGGCGTGATCTCGGCTCACTGCAAGCTCCGCCTCCCAGGGTTCAAGCGATTCTCCTGCCTCAGCCTTCCAAGTGGCTAGGATTACAGGCATGCACCACCATGCCCAGCTAATTTTTATATTTTTAGTAGAGACAGGGTTTTACCATGTTGGCCAGGCTGGTCTCGAACTCCTGACCTCAGGTGATCCGCCTGCCTCGGCCTTCCAAAGTGCTGGGATTACAGGCGTGAGCCACCGCACCCAGCAGAATATACAGTTTTTAAAAATCACTTAATCTGTAAATTAAAACATAACATGTTGAACTCACCAAGGAATCTAAACATTATTATTCTCCATCCTTAACAATCTACAGAGATAAGAGACAAGTCATTTCAGGTTTTCTTCTGCCTTTTTTAACTGAGGGAGATTTTTACATTGAATTTTGATTTCTAGAGCAAGAAAGTCCTGACTAGTCAAGGCCATCACTGAGATAAATTTCTTTAACCATCCCCCTTGTGTTGGATCAAGAAGTTAAAGAATCTAGGAGCTGTCATTTTTGGTAATTCAATATCTAAATGAAAGAAAGATAGAATAAGATAAAAGACTTACCGTTGATTCTGAATTACTTAACAATGAAATACTGAATTCCAATGAAGTCTTACGAAAAAGAAACAGTCTCTCTCGATCCTAAATGTCACCTTGAGAGACCCTTGGACCTCATGCTCATTTTGCTATGTAAATAGAATTAATTTTATCTTGAAAGAACAGTGGAGTGACAGTTAAGGGGCTTCTATTTTCTATTCTGCCACTAACTGCTACTATGAACTTGCATAAGGTACTTCAAATTCTTTGGATCGCTGTTTCCTCAATTATAAAAGAGAAAGTTGGTCTAGAACTGGCAATTTCCAAACTGTGCCTCTGAATCCTTAGGATTGCAAGGAACCAGCAGAAGTCTTGACCGTTCACTTTTTTTTTCTGGTTTGCATATGGATCTTAGCAAAATTTAATTTGAGGAAAGGAAAATGACTTAAAAAGTTTGAAAAACATTAAATGAAAAAAATTGTGAAGCTGTATCTTGATTTGATAATTCTAATCTGTAACCTATTTTGTTTTGTAACTATGCTAGAGAACATTGGAGTGAACAGAATTGTCATATTCTTGGCTTCTACTTTTAAATAGAGGTTGTAAAAAGAATTCCTAAACCGTATAGAAAGGAGGGCTAGAAAACACAAACTGGAAGGTGAGATCTTAGTACAATTTTAACTGAGCTTATATGTGATGTCAAGACAACTGCTGAACATGGTGTGCACACCTCTCAGCCAGGTCTGCTCTTTCCCTGGGCCACAATGCTACACAGTCCCAGGGGGCACCACCGTGTTGGAGTTTAACTGAACAGTGCCCTTGAATGATGTTGAGCGATGCATCGCCTATGTGGCTTATAGCAGGCGTGGCTTTTTCATCATTTGGTCAAGAGCTACTTCTATTTCAAGGTCTACTTCAGAGATCCTAGCATGATTCACACCCTCTTACTACCTCCTTTCTTCAAAATTAGTTTCTCCCTCCTTTGTGATTTCAGGGTATTTTGTGTTAACCTTTTAAAGAATGCTATGCCATTATATTATAGTTAATAGTGTTTGGGTGCCCATCTCCCTTGTTAGGTTTTGAGCTTTTAGAAGGCAGGAGCTGGGTTTTAATCTTATTTGAATTTTTTTTTGTGGTTTTTGTTTGTTTGTTTGTTTATTTTTTGGTTTTGAAACAGGATCTTCCTTTGTCTCCCAGCCTGGAATGCAGTGGCACAATCACTGCTCACTGCAGCCTTGACCGTCTGGACTCAAGTGATTCTCCTACTTCAACCTCCCAAGTAGCTGGGACTACAGTCATGCACCATCATGCCTATAAAGATAATTTAATTTATAATAAATTATTTATACAAACAATAACATTCAGTATATTTTTCCAAGACCTTGATAAAATATGATAGTGGTATTCTTTTCTTGCCATATATACTCAACCATTCAATTCAACCAACAAATACCATGATGATTGTGTGCTACTCTACATGTTAAGGGGGTGTCATGTACAAACTCATCCAGGGAGCATGGGAGTTAATAAAACCTATACCTTTCATAATTAAAATATGAGGCAGTACATGATTAGTGCTGTATTATAAGTGTAAACCAAAGTGCTTTGGAAGCTCTAAGGGCTTGGGATTAATTCAATGATTGCACATAAAATCAGTTTGCACATAAAATCCCTTTGGTTTGGAGCAGTGGGATTTCAGCAGGCAAAAATATACAAGGGGCAAGGGCAAGTGCAAGGTACAGCATGAAGATGATGGGGATTTTATGGTATGTGAGAATGATTACATAGTAGATACAGAAATAGTATAGATTTTGCAGTAGTTGGGAAGAAGCCTGGAAAATTAGGTAGGATTTAATTATGGTATTAATTACTTAAATACCATACTAAAAAGTTTAGAATTATTTCCCTGAAAAATTGGAACTCATCAAAGGAGAAGCAAAAGAAGAAAAACTTGGATTTACAAAGCTTAGTCTGGTAGTATCAGGCAAAATTAATTGAAGGGCAAACTTTGAAGATGGGGAGACCAGGTAAGCAAAAGATAACCTGAGGACTTAATTTGGAATATAGCTATGAAAAAGAAAGGAGAGAATGAATGTGACAGTAAGATAAAGAGTAAGAAGTTGAAAATATTTCTGAAATACACTGAATAGAAGATATGGAAGTGGTATTGTGACAAATTATTACACAAATTTTCAATCTGCTAATATTAATTTTCAACACCTTTGGTGCCTCCAACATTATTTAAAATATTAAAGAAATTAATCATTAGTAATAGTCATGTTTATTGTTTACTGAAGTGGTAATGTTATTCTTAAATCTGTTGTCACATTTGTCACACTTGCCATTAGGTAATCAATCTATCAAGGGGTCTTATTGACAATTCTTACAACCAATGCCTTAAATATCTCATTTTCCTATTTTAGGGTCCAGGCTTGGAATGTTTCTTAGTAACTTTAAACAGAATTCAAAAACACCCATATTGATAATATATGTAAATTTAGAACACTCTAACTTTAGTACAAAGATGAGTTGTCATATAATATTTTATTTAAAATAATCAAAAGCTATTATACTTTGTTGCTAAATTTTGACTTAGACACTCCTAAGTGCTGAAGGAATGCCCCCGTCTTAAATTTTAAAAAGTTGACTCCAGGGTCAACAGTGTTGGTACAAGATACAGAGATTGAATCTGTCACGGGGAGATGTCCTGGAGAAGAAAAAAAAGCAGGTACATACTTGCAGTTATTTGCTGCTGAGTACATACAGAATTGGATTTCATCATTTATTGGTGGTGACTGGGGCTGCCGGCCACTTTGGAATGCAGAAAAAGGAGGAGGAGGATGAAAGGGACAGGATGCCTCAGGGATCCATCCCCTGGTCTCATTCTTTCTCTTATTCTCCAGTCCCTCCTCACCAAGGACCCCGGGACACACGCTCTACTCCTCCTGTAGGACTTACTCATCTTCAGATCTTTGAGACATGGCTGGTGGAGTGGCTTAGTAATTTGAGGGATCTTTCCCTTAATAATATACTAAGAAGCTGAATAATCTGCTATCTAGACACTGATCCTATCTTTGGGTAAGGGGTCACAGAAACCTTGTAAGTTAAAAAAAAAGTGTTAAAAAAAAAAACGCCAGAAAAGGAGATATAACACATTTTCTTAGAAATCCTTTCTGGAATCCAAAATCTTTTCCTATATGAGTTGAAAATATTATCTATTAAAAGGGCAATTTATGTGTAGAGCATCGAATAGAATTATATTGATATATGTAGGTAAGAATATTTTTATTCTTCATAAAATACTGATATTTTTGTAATTGAATGCTAATAATAGAGATAGTAACTACAGAATTGGATCCCATCATTTATTGGTGGTGACTGGGGCTAATGGCTACTTTGGAATGCAGAGAATATTTATTCAATGTTGATTGAATAGACATTAAAACAGAAACATTTTTAATTGATCAATATTGCTTATATGCCTCAATTTTCTCAAATGTTTTATTGTATTCTTCCAAACAGATAGTACTCAAAATTCCTATGAAGCATTTTTTTTCATTTAAGAAAGGAGAAAAAAGAAAGGGGCTGATTAACACAAAATTCAGAATAATCTTATCTATGCAGGAAAAGAGGGAAGAGGGATGGACTGAAGAGGGGTTCAAGGTTCCAAAGATACTGGTTAGCGTTTCATTTCTTAAGTTGGATACGAGATACACAGATGTCCACCTTATTTATTTACTTACTCGTGTTTTTGCATGTAAGCTACAAATGTTATTTTGTGTCTGTTTAATATCTGATAACATTATTTAAAGCAGATAATTGTAAGACATGGTACAAGTAATGGTAATGACATAATTATTTAAAAAAATAATGACACTGCTGACATCCTTTAGGGCTATTAGGGCTATGGAACTAAGCAATTGGCTGTTTTTCAAAGTGTCCTGAGTTTTCTGTTCCAATCTATTAAATAAATAAGGTATTAAATACTATGAGAAAACTGAAGTATAAAAACAGAAGAAAGACCTAAATCCAGTGCTAAGGAATTGCAGCTCCTTCAGTGACTCCTTGCCTGAGTGGGGCTGTTTACACATACAAGGACTCTGTCTTCTGTTTTACACAGGGAAAGACTGCTGACAACTAGCATTGTGGGGTATGTTTGCATGGCTCTTTCCAGAGTTCAAATCAGAGCACTGTAATTCAGCCACATGATGTTAACCACTTGTCCCTAATTTCGAAATTATTATGGCATCATTTTCTTTCAGAATTATCGATTACTGTTTATTTATTGATCAAGACTAGTAATAAGACCCAGAATGGTAAAGAGCCGACTCTGTCCTTGAAAATGTTCAGAAGAAGCACCAGTGGTGTGTATTTCCTCAGGAATTCAGCTTACTGAGCATTACTCTGTGTTTGTTTCTATCCTTCCTGTTCAATCTTTGTTTTTCTTTTGTCAACCCTATTTGCTCTGAATAGTTGAAAAAAACATCCTAGGGTTTGTTATAAAGTGGGATCCTAACTCATGCTGAATTAAAAGTAAACTACATGCCCTGGGTACATTCATGACCTTAGTTCTCTTAAAACTGAAATGGAGTGGAATCGGTAGCCTAAAGGTGAAGCCTTTAAATCCCTTTATTACCCAAACCCTTATAATCTCTTTGTTTTTAACAAAGTATACACAAGAACGGTAGCAGAACTTCCCAGTTAACATGTCGAGAAATCTCTACTCAGATAAGAATCGAGCTCTTTGGGTTTACTCTTTTTGCAAAATATTTAAAACCTAGAGAGATCATTTAGATGTTGTTTATTTTGATGACCAGATAGATTCTTTTGTTTTGTAAAAGCCACATGCCCATTTTGCCTTCTTCGGGAATTTTTGTTCTAGCACCCTATCATTATTTGCTACCAAACTTCATATCTTTTGTTTGAAGCATCTGAAAATAAAAGTAGTTGTTTAACTAATTTTCTCTTGAGCTTAATTTGGCAATTATCAAATCACATTTGTCAATACAACCACTGAATCAAATGTGACCTAGACATCAACATTTTAAAAAGCCTCCGTAACCTTATGTATTATTTCAAGTTATAGTAGCTACAAGCAAAATCTTGATTGGATCAATAAGAAACAAAAATGTGCTCTCCTCTGTCATTTCAAAGTCATCTATTAAAACAACTCAAATATAAAATTTAACTACATTGGAATACAAATAGAACAGCATAATGAGGCTTATGTTTAGAAATGCAAAGAGCATTCTGAAAAGTATTTTAAGAAGAATTAATCTAATTCTCACTATTAATATTCTTCCATCATTTGATTTTTATTCTTGGACATGTGGATGCTATAAACAATACAATGTAAGATTTATAATGCTTTTTTTCTTTCTTTCTCTCTCTTTTCTCCTTTCTTTCTCTTTCTTCTTTCTTTCTTTCTTTTCTTTCTTCCTTCCTTTCTTTCTTTCTTTTCTTTCTTTCTTTCTTTCTCTCTCTCTCTCTCTCTCTTTCTTTCTTTCTTTCTTTCTCTCTCTCTCTCTCTCTCTTTCTTTCTTTCTGTTTCTGTCTTTTCTCTCTCTTTCTTGTTCTATGTTCCCTTGCATATAGTGAGACACTTCAGAGAACCCTATTTTTTCTTCAGACACATGAAGATGATGTGAATATCAAAATGATAGCGAGGACCCAGGAAGAATAACGCATGAAATAATAATAGGTTAACTAAACTCATATACTAGGTTCTTGGTAAGTATGTAGTATATTATTAATAACTACTTATTTACTCAGAAATCATGTTTGTTTTTTGGAAAATACATTTTCTGCTTCAATTTAGAGTAATACTTAGTTTTCTTTAACTATTGAAAAGGCATTAGCAATATTGTATTGTATGTTATACTTAATGGCCATTGCCAAAGCTACACAGAAATGTGTAAGATGGTTAATTAATAGCATTAATTTTGCCTTATTATTCCTTGTGATTCCAAACACTAGAAAATACCATTGATAGCTTAAAAACTGTTACATATGGCTGGAACCCAAAGTTATTTTTTTGCCATCATTGTAAGGGATACTGTGCATCTTATATATCTTGATATCCTATGTACAGAAAGTGACATCTACTGGAGAAAGCAGAACTGAATATTTACTTTCCAAACTATTTTTTCTGCCAAACGTCCAGACAAGTTGCACTATCTTCAAGATTATCTGAAACTTGTAAAACAAAGAAAGATTTTACTTAGTTCAGTATGGTGTAAAGGCTGGTTGGTTTTGATGGTCATTTTCTTAAAGCTGCCCTGTGGGAAACTGGTTATGGGGCCCACACAAATTATCTCGTAAGAAACACTATTGAAGATATCTGGAAAACACAACTACAGCACATTCCCTTAAGAATGAAACTGAAATTCTAAATAACTGTAAGCCATTGAGTGGTGGATTTGAACAGGACTCCACTGTAACACTTTGTCTGAAAACCTTTCTGGAAAATATGTAACTTCTTTACATGGCCTGGAAATAGGAGTTGTAAAACAAATATGAGATTAGAATACATAATATCTTTCAGGTAGAAAGACATTCCCCTATGCTATCTTGTAACCTAATGATTATTTGTTCATGTTAATAAGATGTGTCTAACTTCATGATCTAATCAAACTGATGTTCTTAGGGAATGGGGGAATACTAACCAGGTGTTTTTCACTTGTGGTCAAAACTAAGAAATGACCTAAAGCCCTGAAAGACAGAAATGATAACAGCTTTATACTTATGACAATAATTCCCATTCTTTACGTAATCACTTTCTCTTACATGAAGGGCAAAAGCCTTTCCTATCTTAATGGAGGGTACTGTGGTGGCCATTTTCAAGACTTTAATGAGTGAGGCACAGCTACATTTGGCTGGTTCATGAACATCATAAAACTATAATAATGACTAGAAGTCCTGTTTCTTTGATTCTAGTCTGTTACCTATATGATAAAGGTTGCTTCCATATTTAGATTACGCTATATAATCCTCCGTAGTTTAATGTCAGATTTTCTACATATGACTGTTATTATTATTATTTTAAATTTTGATTTCATTTTTGTAGCAATGCTCTCTCACTCCCTCTGCTGGCCTTGTTAATTAACAAAACCAGTGCCTAAGTAGTCCTGATGGGAATCAGTGATACCAAGTGGATGACCCATAGAATGCACTCTGTTTTGTGTTGGGAGCCAATCAGAAAATCACGTTGATTGGCCTCCGTATGAAACAAAAAAGGCCAAGAGAAAATTTGTTGTGGGTAGTGAAAACAGAATAGCATGCTTATTTTTATAGTTTTAAGAAAGAATTTAATGAAAGGGATACTTCACAAATCTTAAAAATGTGCTATTTTTCAAAGGAAGAATACCAGTTACCCACATTCTATTAAAACATATATGTACTTAGTAAAAGGCACTCAAAACAAGGTGTATCAATTTTGTATTTCAGTGTTTACACACTGGAGGGTTAAATGAAAGGTTGTCTGGCTTCACTGGTAGGATTCTGAACCTGGATTAGATATACAGCTGTCCAATGGATCAGCTTCCCACATCCTAGAGTTCCATTATGGAGTTACAAAGAGAATGACAGCACTTGGCAAGTCCCAGGCCTAATCATAGCACAGAGAAGTGACTTTTGGAAGGTACATTACTAAGCAATTAGGACCCATTTAATAAATTACCTCTTATGGAACACTTTGAACCCTAGTGGTCTGAAGAGGTTAATGCACCTCTCACAACTGAGTGCTACTCAGTTTCCAGGGGTAACTTCAAGGCCACAGCTAATCCAAACCTTCTTCTCATCAATGGCCTCTTACTCTTGAGCCACTTCTGTAGTCTGGCATCAGTAAGCCCACACACTTGCACTACTCCCCTCTGCGTGCCAGATGCTTCATTTTCTTGCAGCTGAATCCATTGGGCGCAGTGCTCATGAGGCCAAAAGACTTTGTGCTGCACATTAACTTCCTCCTTGGGCTTTCATGCTTCTTATTTGGGAGTCTTTCTGTTTCTCTTATTTATAGAGAGTTTTAACTTCTGGATTTAGTTTAAATGTTACATCTGATGTAATATACTTTCCTCCAAAATTGTTGAGTAGCAACCACATTTTAAATGAATCCAATACACAAAATTAGGCTTTAGGATATTATTAAATTTGTAAAAAAAAAAAAAAAAAAAACCCACAGTAGATGTATATTTGTAAACTGGAATCTTAACTATGGTTAGACACTAAGAAAACATTTAAAATATAACTGTAAGGGAGAAAAAGCTTTGTTTGATGCTAGAACATAATTAGACGTTTTAGGGTTTTATTTTAATTTAAATTCAACTTGAGTTTTTGGAATGAAAATGCCAATGAGACACTAAGAACTTTTATTAAAAAAGATGGCCAAAAAGTCGAATTGGAAAAGATAGAAATATGAAAATATTCCTGTGCATTTATAATGGCTGACATTGCTATATCATGTCATTGGTCTGCTGAACGATATTCCTGTAAACTATGATCAAAATCGTCATGATTTCTAGCACATTTATTTAATGTTTATTCTATCCAAGTCTCTGCTGAGAGCCACAGGAGACGAATAAGACAGGGCCTATGGCTTCAAGAAACTTAGAACTGTATTGTAGAGCTAGGATTTAGGTACATAGAAAAGTAAGCATAACAAAGGGAAGATTACAACGGATGCCAAGTTTGTATTCACACAGGAATTCAGAGAAAGAAGCGGAGTCTCTGCTCAAGAAGGTTTGATGGAGAAAATAGAATTTGCTCAAGTCTTTTGTTAAGATTTTGATAAGAAAGCTAAAAATTAAAAAATAAAATGCTCCAACATTGAGAAGTAATTGAAGTTGCCTTTACTGTGTTTGTGAATGTATTTTGTGGGATATGTTTGAGGGGAATATGTTTGGGAAGTAGTTTTTCAATACAAGAACAGACATTAGTGAGCTTTGTGAATGTTGTACTTTATTACATACCGGAAAAGAAATAAGATGAAACACATTTTCAGTCAAATAACGTAATATAATATGAAAAGTATTGCTTGTTGTCAGCCTGATAATCAGAATATATTTTAACTTTTTTTTAAAAAAGCTAATAACTATAAAACACCAAGATAAATTTTCCTTGAACATTCAGTGATTCACTGGATGAGTCATACATTTTAAAAATTTCTGCTATTTTCAGTGTACCTTGAAAATTTTCCATATTGTAAACTATGTTTTCTTACATGCCTATAAGAAACAAAAACCATGTTTGGAAATCCAGTGTCTACTTGAATCTGGAATATTAATGCAATGTGGGTTTATATGGTCTGAAAGTCTTGTATATTTATGCCATGTGAGTTGATTAGTATCTAAACTTTGAAAAATATTCAGGGTAGAAAAATTATAAATTATTTGTCATGTCAGAGTTTAAAAGGTTTGTAGAAAGACCTGGGTATTTTGTAGCACACAAGATGTGATATGCCTTGGGTGTGACTTCCCTGGTTGTGTTTTGAAAGCAACCTCTACTTTAATAAGACAGTTGTGAATCAACAGTCAAACTAATTTTTGATTACTGGTAAGTGAACATTTAAAACTGGAGCCCCACTTTTAGACGTGGTGGTGAGATTATATTGGTCTCCATTCATATCTAGAAGCACCTCAGTCTGATGGTTTATTCTATACGCAAGGCATTACCACATACAAGTCTCCTTGCTTAACTCTTGTATTATTCACAAGAATGCCAGAGCAGACATATTAATACTAGTCTGCAACTGGCATTATTCCACATACTCAAGAGTTTTCATTCTGGGATAAGCACCATTCACTGAAGGCAAAAAGTAGCATAAGTGAAAGAAAATCACATTGCCTGTTGCATTTTCCTTTTTTGATGACTAAATGCATCCAAACTATGGATCAGCAAACCTTTACTGAATGCTGATTAAATAGTATGATATAAACTATTCATGCTATAGACATGTGCTGTACAGTATGGCTCCCACTAGACACATTGCTATTGAGTCCTTGAAATGTGATTATTGTGAATTTAAAGTGTTGTAAGTGTAAAGTATACACACAGTGTTCAGATACTTAGTATGGAATGGGAACGTAAAATATCTCATTAGTAATTTAAAAATGTTGATTACATGTTGAAATAATATTTTGGATATATTGGGTTAGATAAAACTATTAATGAGATCGATTTGACTTGGCTTTAATTTTTTAACCTGGCTACATAAAATTAAAAATTACAGATGCGGCTCACATTCTATTTCTTTTGGATAGTGTTGCTATAGACCTTCAGAGAATGGACCCAGAAACAAGTGCTGAAAAATACGAAATACTAGAAAAACAGATGAGGTCTCAGCTGAGTCTTGAATGACATAAAGGCTTTGAATTAGAAAATGAGAGAAGGCTAAGTGTGTTTTTGGATAGGAGATTAAGATAAATAAACTGGTGTAGAATTGTAGGTGTTAGAAACCAAAGGTTTACTTTAAGTAATAGTGCAGAGTATTTGGTTATCTTATAAAGGGTGACAAATTCTGAGCACTTACTACCTTAATAAACATAGTTATCTACTATTGAGTCCTTAGAATATGAAGTTTGCATACATAAATTTTCATTTAAACTCTACAACAATCATATAAGGCAAGGTTTATCGTATCAATTTTATTTTATTTTATTTTATTTTTGAGATGGAGTCTTGCTCTGTCTCCCAGGCTGGAGTGCAGTGGCACAATCTTGGCTAACTGCAGCCTCTGTCTCTCAGGTTCAAGTGATTCTCCTGCCTCAGCCTCCCGAGTAGCTGGGATTACAGGTACCCACCACCACGCCCAGCCAGTTTTTTTGTATTTTTGGGAGAGACGGGGTTTTGCTATGTTGGCCAGGCTGGTCTCAAACTCTTGACCTCAGGTGATCCACCTGCCTTGGCCTCCCAAAGTGCTGGGATTACAGGCCTGAGCCACCGCACCTGGCCAAGTTTTATCATATCCATTTTATAAGTGAGGACACTGAGGCTTAGATAGGCTTCCTGAATTACTGAATATCATACAAGTAGGAAGGGACTGAAACCTTGAGTGTCTAACCTCAAAGCTTGTGGTTTTAACCACAGCATTGGAGACAGGTTCACCATGAAGCTAATGGAGCTTTACACTTCCCCCACACTTGTATGTACGACTTCCACGGGGAGGAGCTCAATTAATGTGTTCCCATGGTCATACGCTTTTGTAAACTTTGCCAAATTAAACCACTGTCACCATATCAGTTATAACTGCTGGGACTGTTTCGACTCTGATCTCCCCCAATCACACCTCCCTTTATGCCAGGCAGTGATGGATTGGCACTTTGGGGATTTGGCTGAAGAGAAAGTTCAGCTGGTTATAAACTTGGTTTGGGTTCAGTGAGTTACTTATGTGTTTCCCAGTTCCTTTGATGTATAATTACTTTTTTTTCCCAGCCCTTCCAAGGTATGAATGGCTATCAGGAGTATTCTTACTATCCACTCCACCAGCTCATCTGGGGTCTTAACCAAAGCTACAGAGCCATTTGCCACATTGTAATATTAACTTGATTTATGATATCAGAAGGACGTAGGTCATGGAAAAAAAAAGAAATGCTTTAAATATAAAAAGCTGGAACTTGTTTGTGGAAAAGCCTAATTCCTGGATGTATAAAATTATGTGGAGAATTTGATTCTCATTGAAAACTAGTCAAAATGGAATATACTTGATCTAGCAGCTTATACGATTATAAAATGAAGCACATTAATTTTCTTTTTTGATGTGAATCATGCAAAGTAGAGGTTAATAATTCCTGTGTTTGTAGACATAAGCCTGTAACAAGACTGCAAATATGGAGTATGACTGTGTGAAGTCACCTGTTTTTGCATCCTAATGTATGAGATTTTGTTTTAGCCCATCTGACACACCTTGTTTTAGTGGTTCCAGATGACGAAACACATCAAAACTGCCATTGACAGAGCAAAATGGGCCAAAGCTTTTCTAAACCATTAAAAAAATTTATTAACAACACTGTATGAAAGAGGGAAAATTATTGTCATATGAAGAAGTATGCAGCCAAAATGTGGCATTTTAGAGGAAGTGTCAGGCAGTTAATGAATATAAACGTTATATTATTTTTCTGGATATTGTGATGTTTGTGGTACTTGTCAGCTTTTAATCTTTGTAATTTGTCATGAATTCTTTTTTATCTTAAAGAAATATTTTGGACCTAGGTTGACACTGACAGTTATTTCTTACAGACAGTCTCCCAAATAGTATATGCTTCAGGCATTACAAGACCTGGATTTATCCTTGAACTGTACTGTATAGCTTCACAGGAACTATGGTGGGTTCTGGGGAAACATATATTAAATATTTAGAGGTCACAAAACCCTACAGAATGTGTGGAAGAAAGTCTGTCTATTATGCTATTGATTCTTGTAGCTTCCCTTTGCAGAACAGTGGATCAGACAATGAGCTCTCCATTTTGCAACTTGAGAAAGTGGAGCCTAGGCAGATACCATATTATGTATCCCAAATTCAGCAGCATAGGCTGATATTACATGCATTGGCATCACCGAGATTAGACTGCTTTCTACGGTGTAGTGATGCAGCAATGAGATCACGGCTGGTAAAAGAGAGAAAGACTGAGTGAAGGAGGGTAGGAAAAGGTGAAGGAAATAAACGAACATTTACTGAGGGCCTTACTCGCATCAGGCCCTGTATCCTTCCTTCACTTTCACGTGATTATCTTAGTTAATGAATCTTCAAGTGTCTGTAATGTATAAAGAAATATCTATGATGCATTACATTCTTACTGCCTGATTTTATGACTTTTCTGGGCTGCTCATAGTCCAATAGGGAATGAAGGTAAAGCAGGAGGGCTCTGGAATCACACCAGAAAGTTCAGGTAGATGGAATCATAAAATAAATGCACCCACCACATCGAATAACACTGCAGAGTGTTATTTCCTTGAGAGTACAAATACTTTCTTCTCTGGGGAAACATCACCTACTAAGCCAAAGACCTGTAATCAGTCACTATGGTGTAAGATACATGATCTAGTTTTGCAAAAAATAATTCTTTCTTCAGTCATTTAAGAAAACAACTTAACTTAGATTTAGAAATATGCATGTTGCTAATCATAGCGGTGTGAAGCAATAGTTCTGATTCATGTTTCTTGAATCTTTTTTCATATGTGTTCCTGAATTTAACATCAAACACTGGGAGCTACAAATGATTTTTTTAACTGCCAACCAGATTTCTTAGGATTCAGGAATGCATGCCTGCCAGGGAACATTCATAATTGTATTTATATGCTGGATCAGTACTATTTTTGTGACCTTTACATTCAGAGACCGACAGAATTATACAGGTCTATCTATCTGCTTGGTGTCATCATGAGTGAGGAGGAGCTCCCAACAAACACTCTGAGGAAATAAACATAATCCTATGAGCATATCTCCTCTATGTTCTTATTTTGCATTATACACAGTAGATATGAATTATATCACCCCCTTCCCACATTCCAAGCCACTACTTCTTAATGTGGCTTTCTTTGAAACAGTTCTTAAAATTGCTATTCCTATACTGCGGGCAAGTTGCTTTCAAATATTGTTCAATGGCTTCATTACAGCATTCTCCTTTTTGGAAATTAGCTTCAAGTATCCTCAAAGCTCTCATGTCACACTTTTCTAAAAAAAAAAGAAGATGGTACTTTATGTAAATGATACATAGAATCATATGTGAGCAGCACAGTGCAAGGCATTCTACATGATTGAACAACATACAAACAGACGAGAAGAGATTTAATATGAGTCTGTAGTCCCTGGATTCTTGTATCTTGTCATTTTGGTTTTTTTTTTTTTTTGGAGGCTACTGTTGTCTTCAATGTGGTGAGTCTACATGAGGTTAAATAAACATGATGCAGGCAGGACAATGGTGAACATGCTTCAACTTGGGGTGCCACCCTCAAAGCATCCTCTCAGATCGTGCCTGAGACAGAATTGCCATCTGATGGCTCTTACCTTAAGGGTATACTAAATGTCCTCAAAGACACATCAGAAACAAGTAGCCACGACAAAATATTTGCCTTGAAAGGAATGTTATATATGTCCATAGCAGATTATATTTCTGCTGTTACAATGGAGTTTAAAGAAGAAAGTAATTTTTAAAAGCCTATTTTATAAGCACATTTTCTGTAAGATGTCCCTTTTGTTACTTTAGGGTCACCTATCTAAAACTGTAATGGATTTAATCCATTTTTAACTTTCTGAATGGAAAAGTTTAATCCAAACATTTAAAGGTTTGATCTCTAGGAACATTATCCAGGGATAATTATCAATGAAACTTGAGGAACCAAGAATTTGGCCTGAGTTTGATCAGTGAAAATTGTCTGAGAGCTCGGTTTCAGTAGAGCGAGTTGAAGTCATCCAAAAATAATGCCATTATTGCACCATATTCAACCTCTTAAAATTAAAGTCATCTATTGCCAAAGAAAACTCTGAAAATTAAATGACAGCAAATTTTGTTCATTGAAATTAGAAAAAGGGCTGATATTGGAGAAGACTATGGACATTTACTAAATTAAATTTCATAAAATTTCAAATGATATGTTTCAACCCAACACTTTTTGGAACTTTGAACACTGGAGAAAAATAGTTACTTTTATTATTAATTTACATATAAGTAAATTATGTAGAAATATAAATATTTTGAATTTTTCATTATCTCCAATTTTGTACCAAGAATGAAAATTTTAAACAAGTGCAGCTAGAAATGGTTACACCTTTTTCTATGACACCTTACTCTATGGATGATTCACTGAAATTAAAGCTTTCTGCCTGGTCTTGCCTGACACCCCCCAACCTCCCACCTCACCCCACTAAATGCTTCAGAATTACTCATTGCAACCCTGGCTTAGTGACATAACTTTCCCCTGTCTTGAGAGTTTTACACTTAGTCATGTAATCATAGTAATTAGTAACTTTTTTTCAATGTGTAGAAAGGAAAGTTTAAAGCAAAAACAAACTAAAAAGCTGCTGGTATACATGGACATATATATATATATATATTTTAATTTTTTTCTGAGACAGAGTCTTGCTCTGCCACCCAGACTGGAGTGCAGTGGCACAATCTTGGCTCACTGCAACCTCTGCCTCCTGGGTTCAAGAGGTTCTCCTTCCTCAGCCTCCCCAGTAGCTGGGATTACAGACACGCACCACCATGCTTGGCTAATTGTTTGTATTTTTAGTAGAGATGGGGTTTCATCACGTTGGCCAGGCTGGTCTCGAACTCCTAACCTCAAGTGATCCACCCACCTCAGCCTCCCAAAGTGCTGGGATTACAGGCGTGAGCCCCGCACCCAGCAAACATGGTTATATTTTGAATAAGAGTTCCAGACCAACTGCATAATAAAAGAATCTGAAATTGAGCAAGTGAATCATTTTTAGGAACATACTAACAATTTATTTTTTATTGCCAGATTTAGATCCTGTTCAGTTTTAGTGTTTACATCTTCACTCCAGCTAGAAACCGAGGCCATGCAGGCATAGTAGCCGGTAAGTGGCTATATATAAGGGAGAAAAAGAAATGAGTTTGATGGCACATGTCTGCTAAAGTCTTACTTTCATTTTTATCAAAATTGTCAAATAATCAGATCACATTTTCTTAACTTTGACTGTTGAACTGTTATTGGGCCTCTTTTATGAACTATCTGTATTGAAGTATTAAAAGAAAAGACTAAAAAACAATGCAATATCACCTACTTCCAAGTTTACAATCTTGCATCTGCCACTAATTTATGACTGGCTCTACCAGATTCTTCTCTCTTGGAACCAGTTTACTGCTCTTTGTTTTCTTGTTTGAAGTAGAGGGATTTAAGTGCAATGGGTTTGTTTGGACTTTTACAGTGTTGATCTTATCAACCTTTGGGATTGTTTGTTTCTAAACTCCAGGCATCAAACAAAGGTGGAACTATTGGTCAGGTAATTTGAAGTCATAGATGGGGATACTCAGGTGGCAGTTTGTTTTATCAAACTAGTGAATGTGAAATAATAGTTTAGAATTAAAATTTAGAGCTCATTTAAAAATGATGGAATTCTGAAGATTTGGGTTTAGCTTAAAAACATTTCCCCAATGATTTTTCAGTTTTAATGCTTAGAAAATATTCGCCACTACCCTCAATCCTTTTTCTACTTTACTGTTCTTTTAGAAGAATTTTGTTATTACTCAGATAGGAATTACTTTCCCATGAGCAAGTTATTATAGATTTATCTAAATTAAATCTCATTCCATTTAAATTTTTCCACCTAAGATCTTCCACTGTGCTTGCAGTTCTTTCTATTTTGGTATGCTCACAGCTATTTACTTTTTCCATCAGGGCATTAATTTGGACATTTCATTTAGCACTGGCCCTAATCCTATCCCTATAGAACCCTACTGTCCCCAATTGAATGACACATTACTAATAACTGCTTATTATTTATAGTCCATCAGTCAATTTGATAATAATTCTAATGTGACAGAATCTTACCAATGTCTCTCTATTCGTTTTTATTTGTTTCCAATAGAAATCTTGGGAATTTGAGGAAGCTGCTTATATAATCTTTATTAAATAGTCTTTACTGTATGTTTTGGATAGAAGATGGTATATTTGTGCCATTTTTTAATAGCTTAATGTAAAATTATGCTGCTTGGAATAACATCCTTAACATAAAGCACCATCTAGGGCAAAGAAAAGTAGGGGGCGGATTTGGCATCCTATTTTGGAGAACTTGCTGTCACTTTTACTGCCTTTGGTGTGTCACTTAAAGGTTTTCTTGCCATAATCATCTCCAGACCACTTTTCCTCCCACTCAGCTTTGTAGAAACTGGGGTAAAATGTATCCCAACTCTATGACACAGTGAGAATAACATGTAATAACAGATATAAATAAGTTTGGAAAATCAAAACCCTATACATACTATCCTTTTATAGGAAGATGACTTTACTAATCCACTCTTGGATGGATGTGCATTGTAGGGGCTCTGATACTTTATGCTATTTCACCTGCTTCTTGCAATATTACTGACATATATGTATTAATACATGGAACATGTGGCACGTGCTTGTGTTTTTCATTTGTAAAATGAGAGTATCAGTTATCTTAAGGGAATATTTTAACGCCAAACTCATTGTTATCAATGTTATATGTTAAGTTGGAGCATGCAGATTTCCAAGAACTCTTAGAGAGGAGTTATTGGAGGAAAGACAGGCTCTTCAAGAAAGAAGTCTTGGGTATACTCATATACTGTGTAGGAACTCACTTCGTTAGTTATTCTCTGGTTCTCTAGTGCTGTCAATCTTCCTTTCTCCTCTGTTTCAGTTCCCACAATATTCCAACAAATGAAAGCTTTCTGTTGCCCTCACAAGAAGTGTAGGCTTGAGCCTTCTATTACATGCACTTGTATGTTAATCACAGCACTATTCACAACAGCAAAGACATGGAATCAACCTAGGTCCCCATCAATGGCAGGTTGGATAAAGAAAATGTGGTATATATAAACCAGGGACTACTATGCAGTCATACAACGAATGAAATCATGTCCTTCGCAGCAACATGGATGCAGCCAGAGGCCATTATCCTAAGTGAGTTAACGCAGGAACAGAAACCAAATACCACATGTTCTCACTTATAAATGGGGGCTAAGCATTGAGTACACATGGACACAAAGATGAAAACAATAGACACCGAAGACTACTAGAGAGAGGAGGAAGAAAAACTACCTATTTTGTACTATGCTTACTACCTGGGTGATGGGACCATTTGTACCTCAAACCTCAGCATCATGCAATATACCCATGTAACAAACCTGCCTGCATACTCCCTGAATCTAAAGTAAAAGATGAAATTAAAAAAAATAAAAAATTTAAACATTTGACTATCTGATCTGGAACCACTGTTACTCATTCTTTTCTGCAATCTGGTTTCCAGTTTTTATCATTCCTATTCAATAGCTCTCTTACAAATCCCTTATAGCTTTTATTGATGGAGTGCATGGAGGTAAATACGATGGAGCTGAGCTTTTAGAAAGCCACTTAGAATTGTGTGTTCTTTAGGATTGGGCTGACAGTACCGAGGGTGCCACCTTAGTGCTCCTCGCTGGACCATTTTTGAAAGATGGATGGGAGCAGCTGCTCAAAAAGATCCCAGAGTGCCACAAAAGCTCTAGAGCCTGGAATTCCTCAAAGCAAGTCCAATTTATAGATTCCTACATTCATATACAGAAAACAGGTAAGGCCTTGAATTGAGATATACATTTCCCCAACCAATAGCCAAAAGCCCCTCTGGGATCAATTGGAGCAGCAATAAATGAACTGCTTTTCCTTCTAAGTTCTAAGATCTAGGCCAAAAGTGGGAGGTTCATAACTCCAGGAAAAATCCAGAGGAAATTACAATGACCCCTAGTTTGTGCGAATTGACGCTATCACTGTTTTTCTATTTTGAGTGTAATCGAGGTCATTCTTTGTCCCCCACAGTTTCTCATGTGTGAATGAGAAAAATACCAAGGAAAAGCTTTAAATTACTCAACAACATAAGAACTATTCACTACAAACTCCACAACAAACAAGCATTTTCTCTTGGAATTTTGAGAAAATGAGAAAACGATTAAGGAATGCAAGCCTCTATTAAATTTAAGGAATGAAATAAATTCCTAAGTATTGTGAAGACATATGTAACATGAATCTCAGAAAAGAGTCACAAGGATGGTTAAAGAAACAGGAAATTTTACATATTATAAAAGGTGGCCAGACAGGCCGGAGAAATAGAAAGTAGCTTGATGGAAATCTTTAGCTTTTTGAAGGCTATAGTGAAATCTGCCAAATAATAGGAGAATAGGAGGTCACACTGTGAAATTAATAGCCAGGAAATTTAGAACAAATAAAACATAAATGCTTTTGCATAGCATTTAAGCAGCCCATGGCACTGATTATTGCAGGAGGTCAGAGTTAAATGCTGTCGAGCCAGAATTGAAGAAGAGCGTGGTAACATTGTCATTCTCACCATCATCATTTGCAGTTAGTTGGATGATGATTCGGTTGACTTCATCCTTTGCTTTAGAATTTAATTATGATTGCACTTTGTGGAAAGCTAAGAAGGATGTAAGACAAACAGCAAAAGTAGAAGAAGATAAGGACCCCTCTCTGTGAGCCTACCCCTCATTACTGAACACAAGAAAAGTATTAGATGATGCTGACAACTGCTGAGTTTCCAAATCTTGCAGATATTTGGGTAGTATAAATCTGGAGAAGTTTGTACATTCAAATGTCCCATCTTCAGGCAGGCATTGTACAATATTTTTGTTAAATTAGAATTTCTTTCGATTTACAAAATTTATTTGAAGAGGGCGATTTCTATTATTATCCTCCAATTTAATATTTAGCAAATCATTGTTTTCTTCTGATTTGTTAACCCTAGCTGGGACCCCATACACAGTATCTTTGGAAAATATAGGATTTGATGATGATGCTATTGGTCCATGGTGCTTTGTCATTTTCCATAGCACAAAAGCCGCAACGCCTCGAGCGGACAAAAGGTAATTAGTGCATCAAGTATTATAGCAGTGAAGCCCAAATCCCAGTTCAAGAAATGAATTTATTCCAGTTCACAAAATGGATCTTAAGTGTGACTTTTCATTTTGTCGTCGGCCATAATCAATGCCTAGTCATTGCTTATCACTATTTTTTAAATGCATAAGCAAAGAACAGAAAGATATGTGGGTCCCCCTTTTTACTTCTCCACCCACAGGATATTATTGTCAGGTTGAGTTAATGTTCTACCAGGAATTACTTGGTGTGATGGGGAGGTAAAAAGACAGGAACATTTAATTCTTCGTTAATCTCTTTCTTGCCATAATTAGCAAAGGTGTAAATATTAACGCCTCTGGTTTTAGTCGTGAGTTGATACTATCATGCATATACTTGCTGCCATGGAGGCCACATTCTTCAAAAACAACACCTGACCATTTCACCTGGCATCTTAATTTGTTCATATTTTGGCTGCTAAGCATTCTGCTTTTCTGCTGCTGTATTATAAACAATTTTGTTCTGTTAGTTTGTATTATTTTTTATTACCTTTAAAATTGTTAGGTTGAAATAAACACTATGGTTTTTGGGGTCATTCTTTCTCTCTTTTTTCTTTTTAAATGAATTCCCCCCATGAATAATTTTTTTATTTCGGTATTTTCATTGTAATCAAGGTTATAATTGACAGCTTTATAATACCAGGGGGCACAGTTGAGGTCTCTTTCGCTTTTCAAACATTCTTTCGATCCACTGCAATGACTGTTTTTCTTTGTTTCTTTGCTGTCTGAGAAGAGGCAGAAGATCAGAGAGAGTTCCTGGCGGTGGTAGAATATTACATTCTATTGTAACTAGTAGTTTACATAGACTGTGCAATGAAGTATTCTGTGAAACAATTGGAAATGACTTTTCCTTTTCCTGTGCATAGCCAATGTTTTCATAAATCTGGAGGAAAGCCTTATGGTTTTGAAATCTGAAATATTTGTATCCACTTTTTAATTGTTGATGTCAAACCACCATGCTGGATATTTTTAGTACCTATCCCCATGACTGATGGTGTGTGTAGAAATCAGAAGTGAGGGTATCACTGCTGGCAGAACTGGAGTGAATTAGAAATTCCATTTTCAAGACATTTTAAAATATTCACTTTTTAACCTCCTTTTAAAGCTACCTCTTGCTGTATTTTGCAAGGGTGGGGATTTAATGCATGATGCCTACACATGTGTACATAATATTCTCTACCTTTTGTCTTTAATATTCCTTGGTTTTTAATTATTAAAGATAAGTATTTGAATTATAAATATTCTAGTTATACAGGAATAGGCAAAGCAGGCATATACCCTCAGGCAAAATTCTTCCATTATCCATAATCCTTCTGCCTCCTGCCTCCATTTCTCTGCTTCCTATCTTTATGTCGCCTCAAAAAACACACAGAGGCATTCTTTTAAACCAAGCTTCTCCTCCCCACTTAAACCATAGAAATCCCTTCTCAATATGTATAGGGGCCTATTCCTTGAAGTGGGATGTCATACTTGTCCTAAATATAATAAAGTGCTATCTTCAAGGCATTTCTGCATCCAAAACACTCCCCAGAAACCCGCCGAGCCCTCCCATCTATCCAGTCTGAATGTCACAAATCATAGCCCAGAAACTGCTTTATAGTGAATCATTAACACTGTCAGGAATGACTTGGCAGAGAAAAAAAGCTTTCCATTAGAGAACTGAGGGAGAATATACAAATGACAGCATTGTCATTTCACTCCTATTGTTTTATAAAGCTCAGAACTGATTAGTAAGAGATTATTACGGAGGACTATGACTCTGTATTTCATATAGAGTATGCATTGTGTTAGGTGTTTTTACATATCCCCCTTACATCTTAGGGCTTCATGGTCTATTTTAAATAAGTTTTGTTTTTAAAACAGTGCTTGCAGTGCTGAGGAAAGTTTTATAGCATGAATGAAGGTACACAAAATGGGTATGTGGATGTTTGCAAAATAGCTGACCTGATTATTTGAAAGTGAAAAGCTATTTGTGTGGCCACTTGCTTGGGATTACAGTCCTGATTCTTTTCCCCAGCAGGGATGACTAAAAAGGACAGAATGCCTCACCACAGATGGGCAAGAATGAGTTTGGATGAGTGTTCTCTGTCTTTGATGGTGGGTCTTGCATTGTTTTGTGAAGTTGAAGGCAAGTAGGATTTGGAATTATTTGATGCTTGTATTTACCTGGGCTTATATTCTCCATCATTAGAAGAGCCAAGTTGGCTGATATTCCTTTGCCCCCTTTACCTTGTGTGGACATGTGTAGTGAATTCAGGGGTATGCTGCCCAGATTCCCACTGGGATGGAAGCACTCATTTCCCCAGGGACCACGGTGTTTCTTGCCATTGGCTTACCCTAGGAATTTCCCTTTGCCAAAGGCAGCTTCTTACCCCAAGTTACATCCCTTCCCCAGGACCAGCCTGAATCCAGTAGTGAATCCATGCCTCAATTTGAGATACTTTTGGTGGGCTATCCCAGCCTCAGAGCTCCACATGAGATGGGTGGAAGCCTCTGTTTTGACTACCTTACAGTTCAGCATCTCTCTCTGGCAAGTCCCCACTCTTTTGCTCGCTTACACATGTCATATCTGAGAGCATTCTCTGATAAACCACAAATCTCTGCTTCAGTGTTTGTTTTATAGAAAACTCAACCTATGACACTTGATAATGAGGCTGGTCTTAGAGGCAAACTCTAAAAAGGGATTTTGAAGTTGAATTATTTGCTGGCTGGTTCATAATCAGAACTCCATTACTGGTGGTAGGGTAGTGATGCAACTGTGAAAATTTTCACTAATGTTGAATTTTGATAGGACACGAGCAGAAAGAAATGTATCACAAAATGCAATATCTCAGGTGTTTTAGACTTTAGGCGTAGATAGTAATTAAAGGAGTATAGCACTGGATAGCTATCTTTTGAAGAGATGGGGTCTCCCTAGCCCAGGCTAGTCTTGATCTCCTGGGCTCCAGTGGTCCTCCCATTTTGGCTTCCCAAAGTGCTTGGATTATAGGTGTGAGCCACCATGCCCGGCCTTCTGGATAGCTACTGTTGCAAGTTATCCATGCATTGGAGAAGACATGAAAGGCCGAGGGAGATTAATCACCAAATTAAGGTGACGTATAAAAGCCAGAGGGCCTCACTAGCAGCATATAAAGAGACTCCTATCTCATGCAGCTGGAGAGTGAAAAACCTGAGGATCTCACTTAGGACTTAACAATATGAGCAGATTATCTCCAAAGAAGGCTGAACTTTTAACGTTCAAGTTGTCTCTGCAAAAAATTTGGGTCCTGATTGTGACCCTGGGTCAGTATTCTTTTAAGTCTCAAATTACCAGATTTTCCTGAAGTCTCCAAGTCTACAGAAGTGGCTTACTCTTCCCTCTTAAAGGCTAATGCTCCTCCCTTACTCGAAGAAATACAGAGGCCTCTGACCAAGACAACATGTGCCCATTCCCTCAGAATCGATTCCTACTTCTCTTCCTGGTTACCAGACCAATAACTAGAATTATGTCACAACATATTCTAAAATGGTTAAGTGTCAGGCCTGAGGAGCTGCAAGACCTAGCCAATATGTACCTGGGAGGTCCAGAAGAGTATGTATGGAAACTGGAACCTGGAGGTGTTGAATTAGGGGGTAGAATATAAGGAACATAAAAAGGAGTGAATTTGTTGATATGAGAACATTTTTCTGGAATGAGGATATAATACTCTGTCAAAGAACCCAATAGAAGGAGCTAACATGCTATTTAATGGCACTTTGAAGCTTACAGAAAGTGATGGCTCATACCAAGCAAAGTAGAAAGTGCCATAGCAGATGATAGAAGGACTCAAGAGAACCAGTAAAATGGAAATACTATAGTGAATATAGTAGACTAGAAAACTAAACTAAACACCTTGAATGTGCTCCATGGAAGTGCTTAGAGGAAACTGTTTACCCAAATAATGAGGAATGAGTTGGAGAAAGGGACATGAGTATCACAGAAATGCTCAATGACTGCTCACTGAAAGCCAGAGCTCATGGTAGAAGGTGCTGTTACAGAAATAGCTTTCTCAGTAGTAATAGGAATGATAAGATACAGAAGTAAGAGAGGCCAGGTGGTAGCACTTCATCTATAGCAGCAAGGAATGCACAATTTTCATAATGAGTGACAAGGTTGGAGTAGCAGCCAGAGAGTCCTTACCTGCAGAGAGCTATGGAGACAATTAATGGAACCTAGGCCACCAGGGGCAAGACAGGTGAGAAGCTGACAAGGGCATGCTCAATTTATAAAACAAAGAAATTCAGGGAGGGACAATCACAATGCTGAGAGCAACTGCTCCAGTGAAAATTCTTGATCCCTTGCCCAGTTTCTAGATCTGAGCCAGTTTTCAGACCCGGAATTCCTGAGGGAGGACCCTGCATCATCATAAAAAGTACATTCACTAATGATCCTCTTAGTCCTTTCCCAAAGGACCTCTGTACATTTACTTGGGTAACTGTTTACTGGGGAAGGGGATGACCAAGTATTTTAAGGGCTATTGATCCAGAGACCCAAAGCATCACTATAACCCCCTTAGTATGAGGATCTTTAGGGCCTGGAAATATAGTTCTGGCTTAAGTAGCAGCTCAGAATAGATCCACTGGAGCCACGAAACAACTCAGGGATTATTTTCCCAGTCCTAGAGCATATACTTGGAATGGATATTTCTTGGTACTTGGTAGAGCTACCACATTTATTCTTTTGTCTATAGGATTAGAACCATCATAGTGGGAAAGCTAAGTGGAATACTCTGAAATTGCCTTTTGTCACAGACAATAGCAAAAAGGAAACAATATTATATACCAGGGCAAATGACAAAAATAAATGCCACTCTTAAAGATCTAAAGGACCCAGACATGGTGGTCCCAATTATGTCTTTATTTAGTTCAGTGTTCTGGCCCTTGCAAACACCAATTGATCCTGGAAGATGACACTGAATTTCTGTAAACTCGACCAAATAAAGCAATTGCAATGCTGTACCAAATGTGGTATCTTTGCTAGATCAGATTTACATGGCTTCAAGTACATGGTATTCAGTGATTGATCTGGTTAATGTGTTTTTCTATCTCTATCAAGAAGATAGAATAGAAGCAGTTTGCACTCGTGTGGAATGAACAATATATATTTACAGTCTTTCCCTAAAGCCATGTTAACTTTCCTATCTTCTGTCATAATATAGTCCAAAGGGACATGATGCCGAGCATGCATCTCATTGGCTTGCTACATTGACGACATTGTGTTAATCAAGCCAGATAAACAAGAACTGGCAAGTGTGCTGTAAACCTTGGTAAGACACATGCATTCCAGAAGGTGGGAGGCAAACACTCTGTGAAGACTTAGGGGTCTACCAAGCCAGGAAAGATTTTAAGGGTCCAGTAGTCTGGGGGATGTCAAGACATTCCCTCCAAAGAGAATGGAAAATTATTACATCTTACATATCTCACAATGTCTGGTAGGCCACTTTGGGTTCTAGAGGTAGCATATTCCAGACTTGTGAATATTGCTCTAGCCTATTTACCAAGTTACACAGAAGGTGTCCAGATATGAGTAGGGTCCTGAGCAGAAAATAATTCTATAGCAGGTCCAGGCTGAAGCACAACCAGCTCTTTAGCTTGGGCCATGTGACCTGGCAGACTTTCTCATATTAGAATTATCAGTGCTGGAAAAAGATGCTGTGTGGGGGTTTACAGCAGACTACAATAGGAAAATCACAATATTGAACCCATGAGTTCTGAAGCAAGGCCATGTGATCTGTAGGAGAAAATTACACACCATTTGAAAAATTGTTCTTGGCTTTCACTTGGGCCTGATACTAACTATTGGATACCACATGACCAAGTGGCCAGAAGTGCCCATCATGATCTGAGAACTCTATGACCTGTCAAGTCATATGGTCAAGTGGTCCCAGAAGCCATCTAAGATGGAAGTAGGCCAGACGCGGTGGCTCATGCCTGCAATCCCAGCACTTTGGGAGGCCAAGGTGGGTGGATCACTTGAGGGCAGGAGTTCAAGACCAGCCTGGCCAACATGGTGAAACCCTGTCTCTACTAAAAATACAAAATTAGCTGGGTGTGATGGTTTGCACCTGTAGTCCCAACTACTCAGGAGGCTGAGGCAGGAGCTACCCAGGAGGTGGAGGTTGCAGTGAGCCCAGATCAAGCCACTGCACTCCAGCTTGGGCAACAGAGCAAGACTCCGTCTCACAAAAAAAAAAAAAAAAAAAAAAAAAAAAAAGAAGATGGAAGTACTGCATTTGTGGTTGGTTAGGAACTGGCAGAGCCAAAGGGCACGATCAAGCTCCTTGAGGAGGTGGGCCATATTCCTGTGAATCTACCACTGTTATATTAGTGCCTCTCTCTTAGCTCATGCCTCATGCCTATGGCTATATGGGGGTGACCCTTTTGACTAGCTTATCAATCTCATCCTGAAAACCAGTGGAAAGGGGAAGTCTCCCCAATGAACAGAGTTTTAGATGATGTAGTGAAGGGTTATTCTCTTTGTGTGGAAAGAAAGGAGTCCCAGTGTTAGAATATATATAGCCTTATAGTGGCAAAAAGCTTGACTGTTTGGTGAAGGTCCTGGAAGGAGAAAGATTGGAAGGTTGGCATCAATAAGCTTGGTGAGGGTTATGGAAATGTGAGTATGGTCATGGAGTGTGAAGGCCATTATATCACAAATTGACACTCACTGGGGCATCCACTATGGAAAATGTACTAAACAACCAAACAGATGGGATAACAAGCCAGTGGACATGAGCCAAGTCTCTGTCATTGGCCACTCAAGTATTGGCACAATGGGCATATGAACAGAATAACCATGGAGGCAGGAATGGCAGCTATGCAAGACGCAAGCAGCGTAGGATCCCACTCACCAGGGCTGATAAATAATAGCAACTATTGTTGCCAAATGTCAAATCTGCAAGCGACAGAGATGGATGCTAAACCCTCAATATAGCACCATCTCCTGAGGAGACAAATCAGTCATTTGTCAGCAAGTTGATCACAATTCACTCCCTCTGCCCTAGAAATGCAACAATTCAGGACAGGCATGGTGGCTCACGCCTGTAATCCCAGCACTTTGGGAGGCCAAGGCAGACGGATCACCTGAGGTCAGGAGTTTCAGATTAGCCTGGCCAACATGGCGAAATCCCATCACCAGGCATGGTTATGCATGCCTGTAGTCCCAGCTACTCAGGAGACTGAGGCAGGAGAATCGCTTGAACCTGGGAGAAGGAGGTTGCAGTGAGCAGAGATCACGCCACTGCACTGTAGCCTGGGTGAGACAGTGAGGCTCTGTCTCAAAAAAAAAAAAAAAAAAGAAAAAAGAAAAGAAATGCAACAATTCGATTTGAGTATAATAAACAATATTTCATATTTGTATATGCCTTATTGTCCACAGGGCCTGTATGAATTTTCCACACTGCATTGCAAATTACTGTAAATTTAACATCTTAAAATACCACACATTATCCCATCATTTCTGTTGGTCAGGAGTCTGGGCACAGATTAAATGGGTTTTCTGAGTCAATGTCTCATCAGCCTGACCTGCAAATGTTGACCAGGACTGTGGTCTCTCATCAGTGGCCTGACTGGCGAAAGATTCATTTACAACCAGCACCACTATCTGAAGGCCTACAGAGTATTTAACACTCTGACACAGACTCTCATATCACATTGCATTAGACCATGATTTATGTGCAGTGGACACATAACCTTAGGATTCACTGGTCCTATCACGTCCTGTACCATCGAGAAGATGCTGGCCTGAAAAAGCAATAAAATAGCTGTTTGAAGGCCGTTTTATGATGCTATGTACCCAAAAGGTAGAATACATTAGTCTGAAAACCAAAGATAAGAGAGAACTTTTTTTTTTTTTCACCATCAGTCCCAGTGACTTGCTTGGGAATTTGCATTTTCTGTCCCCCAAAACTTGCGAAGTTTTGGGGTCCTGGTTCACAGAGGGGAAATACTGTTACCAGGGTCTATGGCAAGCATCCCATTAAATTTAAGCTACGGTTGCCACCTGGTCACTTCGTATTCCCCATGATGGGAAAATAGCAGACATCTAGGGTTCTATGCCTAGGTGTCATAAACTTATTATTTGAAGCCAGTGAACCTGAGTTGTGAAAGAGGTTGACTGTAGCAGATGCTGTGGTGTGCTGCCCAAATCCCTCTTCAGGACCAAGACACCCATCCCCAGCTACCAGGAGTGTTGCCTGCTGATGGCTCACAGCTGAGTTCAATCCAGAGCTGATGCTCTGTGAAGGCAACCACTTTGCCCCAGGTAACACCCTCTCCTTGGGGGCAGTTCCCTTCCAATGACTTTTCAGTGTAGAAGTACAAAACCCTGGCTGTCTTAACTCAACTTGGGCATTTATGAAGGGCCATCCCAGATTCAGAGCAATAGTAGGAGTGCCTGAGGCTTCTGTTGTAATTTAACCACAGTTCCAATCTTCGGCTACTTCCTTCACTCCCTGACAGGTATCTTACTGGAGGATATTCCAGTTTGGTTACTTGCAAATCTTTGCATGCAAATGCAAACCTGCATGCATATCTTTGTCTTAGGACTGCTTCTAAGGAACTTGACTTATAACAACATGGAACTCCCAGGGTGAAGACTTTTGATAGAATAAACTAAATTGTTCCGTAAAGTAAATTGCCCAACAATTTGCTTCTCTTCATTGATATGACAGGTTAGTTGTTCTGGGAGCTTCAAGAATATATTCTGTGGGCATGGACTCCTCTGTGAGAATATTGTCACAAATTACTGAAGATATTTTAAGAAATATTTAAAAATGGAATATTATTAATTTTTTTCTTTCATTTTGTTTGGCTGAGACAACATATGTTAATGCCATGAAATGTTGCAGTCTCTCTGCATATTAAGTATAGTAAAAGAAGCTGGTTTGATCAATATGTTTTCTACAAACATGCATATTATGTGTATTCTATAAATTAAATTTATCACCTCCATAAAAGGCAATTGCACCACATTTTGCATATTTAGCCGTCCATGAAGATAAAAATATATTGAACCACAAGTGGTTAAACATAATAAAAGCACACCGTCCTATGTAACACCCAGCTAGGCAAAGGCAGACAGAACTAATCCAACTTGACACTGCCGAGCTCTGCCTCACCATCTTGCTCTTGGCGGAATTCCCACTGAAGTTCATATGTGCTTTGCTAGAGTGAGGACGGTGGGATGGAGTTCACAGCTTTCTTCCAGTGGAAATATGTGCAGGTCAGAATTTACTCCTTAGGTTTATTTCTTACCTCACATTTGAGTACAATATTTTCAGGTGAAAATTCAGCTAGTTGTAGGTAAAGCTTTAAAGAAAACAGAAGGGGATAAAAGCATCTCAAGTACAGCATTCTCTGCTGGTAATCAATTGCGTTGCCTCACCCCATTTTTGATATGGCTCTCAAAGGTGATATAGGGTATGTGAAAGACCTCCTATGTATAGAAAATTATCACTCAGATTCAGTCAACTAGAAACCACTTTAGTCAGAGAATTAGCTCTGTAACATTCTGTTTCATAGCAAAGAATGAAACAATTTACTCCTCCTGATATTTCTAAAAATATTTGAATTGTTCCTAACGTTGGAACTAAAACATCTTTGAGTAACTATGGAAGAATGAAGTGTTCCTCATTCTTGCATCTTAGAGCAAGACTAGATTCTTATTTGAAGACAAAGTCATTTATAGGACATTTCATCTTTCTTAAAGATTTTATTCCTATTACAATTATATAGATTCAGGATGTGGTCAATAAGGAAAATACAATTCAGTCACTGAGATGCATTTTATGATCTTTGAATAATGTTGGAAAATGGTTGTGTTATAATGTTATCTGGAAAAAAGAGGACAGAAAAATGTATATATGGTATTATACACATGCTATATATTATAATGTACTTGACCATTTCCCTACTGTGAAACATATATGTGCTTTCTAATTCTTCATGAATAAAAATACTGCTGTGATGAACATTTTTGTGCATAATATTTCCCCACATCTTGGGTGACACGTGAAATCTGGGGAACAACTGAATCAAAGATATGGGCACTTTAGTGTTTTAGCATTTTGACATTTGTTTTCTGCCGCCTTCCTAGGAATGTATGAAAGTATTCATTTCATCTTACATGGTGGAACTGAGTCTGAAGGATAAAATGTATATGAATCTTGCTTTATTGTTTGTTATCGATCCAAATGTTTTTCTGAAATAAATAGCATACATATACTCAGGAGGGTTCTTAGCCAAACAAGTTATACTGAACAAAACTAAAAGTGAATACACCCTGAAAATTTACCATTCTTGACTCAGCAGAAATCTGTCTCACTTTTATATCATACACCATATATATTTTATGCCAGTTTGAGAAGACAATGCTTTGCATCATAAATTGTGAAATATAGTCCATTGAAAATAATAAAATGAATATTAAACTATATAGTTTCTCAAAAAATGAGATTTGTTTACAAAATTCTTAATGATTTCTACCAACTACCTCTCACTCCATTCACTCAAAAAGTACTCTATTTCCAATGGAGGTAATGTAAGGGAGAAGGGGGAGGAAAGATAAGATTCAATGACAGGAGATTATGATTTTGGGTTAGTTCTTTAATATGACAGGAAGAAATGAGGGGAAGCAAAGGAACAGAAAAATAAAGTTCCTTCAGTACTGAGTAAGAAGACATAATTTGCTGTATTCTCTTTGGTTTACTATGAATAAGCTTTAATTCCTTTCCCCTTTTGTCCCCCTCTTCCCCAATACCCTGCAAGTTCTAGATCTGAAGAATTTAGCACAAGAATGGGTCTATATTCAAGGGACCAAAGCAAACTTCCAACAAGCACACAAATTTTTACACGGACAGAAAGATATTTACACGATCTTCTTCAATTATAAACTCCATCTGAACCACCAATCCTAACACAATTCAGTGCTTTACTCCACCTTGTGTGTGTTTTCATCAGACTATTGTGTTTATGTGCGTTTGATTCACACTGTATTTATATGATAATCCCAACATCTAAATAATAAAATATCAGAATGCAACGAATATGGAAACTTCAAATTCTAAAGGTATGATCCTTGTGCATCATACGTTGTATCATATGGCAAAGATATTCTACAAACATTCTTGATGAAAAATTAAATTAGTAAGGTTATATGTGAAACTGAACAATTGGTCAACTTTTTTTAGTACTAATGTATACCCGTGAACCTCTGATCACAACTGATTTTCAGTTTTTTTTGTTGTTGTTGAAACGGAGTCTCGCTCTGTTGTCCAGGCTGGAGTGCAGTGGCACGAACTCAGCTCACTGCAAGCTCCGCCTCCTGGGTTCACGCCATTCTCCTGCCTCAGCTTCCTGAGTAGCTGGGACTACAGGCGCCCGCCACCACGCCCGGCTGATTTTGGATTTTTGGTAGAGACGGGTTTCACTGTGTTAGCCAGGATGGTCTCAATCTCCTGACCTCGTGATCTGCCCGCCTTGGCCTCCCAAAGTGCTGGGATTACAGGTGTGAGCCACCACTCCTGGCCAATTTTCAGTTTTTATTGAATAATTAATTTTAGTAGGTAACATACATTTTAAACTTCTAGGAGTGAAATATTATGACAAGAATGCCATGAAATAACTAACACAGACAATAGGCATAAACCATGATTATCCAGAGCAAACTGGGACATATTGTTACCCTGTTTGTAGGACACAAGGAGAATTGTCGCCAGGGCTGGCTATGTAATTTGTAGGGCCCATTGTAAAATAAAAATTCACCTTGTTAAAAACGTATTAAGAATTTCAAGGTGATACAATGAGATACCATCTCACACCATTCAGAATGGCAATTATTAAAAAGTCAAGGAACAATAGATGCTGGTGAGGCTGTGGAGAAATAGGAACGCTTTTACACTGTTGATGGGAATGTAAATTAGTTCAACCATTGTGGAAGACAGTGTGGGGATTCCTCAAAGACCTAGAACCAGAAATACCATTTGATCTAGCAATCCCATTACTGGGTATATACCCAGAGGAATATTAGTTATTCTATTATAAAAATACATGCACATGTATGTTCACTGCAGCACTATTCACAATAGCAAAGACATGGAATCAACCCAAATGTCCATCAATGATAGACTGGATAAAGAAAATGTTGTACGTATACACCATGGACTACTATGCCACCTTAAAAAGGAACAAGATCATGTCCTTTGCAGGGACATGGATGGAGCTGGAAGCCATTATTCTCAGCAAACTAAAGCAGGAACAGAAAACCAAATACCACATATTTTCACTTATAAATGGGAGCTGAACAATGAGAACACATGGACACAGGGAGGGGAACAACACACACTAAGGCCTGTCGGGGGGTGGTTGCAGTGGGAGGGAGAGCATCAGGAAAGACAGCTAATGCATGCGGGGCTTAATACCTAGGTGATGGGTTGATAGGTGCAGCAAACCACCATGGCACACATTTTCCTATGTAACAAGCCTGAACATCCTGCACAGGCATCCTGAACTTAAAATAATAATAAAAAATTTCAAGATGGTGATGACAGAGCATTAAATCAAGTGCTCTGAGTGTGGGGTCCTGTGTGAGTGCACAGGTCACATGCTTGTGAAGCTGGCTCTGATGATTACCAATATTAACATATGTGTGTTCCAGAGCTTTTCTTTCCTCACCAAATAAATGTCAACAAATATTTTTGTCATTTTATTTTTTTCAATTTTAAAGGCATCTATGATCATTTTGTGAATTTAAAGTTAATTGTGTATAAAATAAAATTTAGCATTCTTGCTCTTTGATGGTAATGCATGCCTGCCTGCCTGCCTGCCTTCCTTCCTTTCTTTTCTTTCTTTCTTCTTCTTCTTCTTTTTTTTTTTTTTTTTTGACGGAGTCTCACTCATTTTGTCATCCAGGCTGGAATGCAGTGGTGCAATTACAGCTCGCTGCAAACTCTGCATCCTGGGTTCAAGTGATTTTCCTGCCTCAGCCTCCTGAGTAGCTACGATTACAGGCATGCACCACCATGCCTGGCTTATTTTTGTATTTTTAGTAGAGACGGGGATTCATCACTATGTTGGCTAGGCTGGTCTTGAACTACTGACCTCAAGTGATCCACACACCTCGGCCTCCCAAAGTGCTGGGATTACAGGCGTGAGCCACTGCGCCCAGCCGGTAATGCCTATCATTCTGGCACATGCCTTGGAATGGAGGGTTAAAGGAGAATGAAATTCTAGGAAGTTCACATTTAAAGAATTGAAGAGGATTTAGTCTATTTTTTTTTCAGAACTAGCTAGTGTTAACATTATTAATGTGATCTTTTCTTCTAACGATTTGAGAGAGTGCTCTTAAATAATTAGAAAAAAAAGTGTCAGTTTAAGAAAGAATCATAGGCCAGAGATGGTGACTCATACCTGTAATCTCAGCACTTTGGGAGGCCGAAGCAGGAGGGTCACTTGAAGCAAGGAGTTTGGGACCAGCCTGGGCAACACAGCAAGATGCTTTTCTAAAAAAAAAAAAAAGAAAATATGAAAATTAGCTGGCCATGGGGCATGTTTCTGTAGTCTCAGCTACTTGGGAGGCTGAGGCAGGAGGATTGCTTAAGCCTAGGCAGTCAAGGCTGCAGTGAGCCAAGATTGCACCACTGCACTCCAGCCTCGGCGACAGAGTGAGACCTTGTCTCAAACAAACAAACAAACAAACAAACAAAAAAAAAGGAAACATCTAAATACCTACCTACTAGGAAAATATGCAGTAAAGAATGTTACACAAACATCTGTAAAACACATAGAGAATCACAACTAATGCAGAAAAAAATGGGGACAAAAATGGGAATGAAATAAAACCAGGATTTACTCAAGAGGCAGCTATACTCCTGGGACTTTGATAAAGTAGCTGAGTGGCAAGCGGCCATCAGGTGCTACTGCTTAACTATAAGGAGCTTGGCCACAGAGATTAGGGGAGATCACCTGGCAATTGAAGCCCTGTTGATAAAAAGAGTGGCTTCAAATGGGGCCCATGAACTCAAAAAGGAGAATCTCTCTCTGAGATGATTTGTCTGAGTCCCCACTGAAATCTCTTCTCAAATTGTCATCTGTATTGTAATCCCCCCATGTCAAGGGAGGGACCTGGTGGGAGGTAACTTGATCATGGAGACAGTTTCCCCCATGCTGTTCTTGAAATAGTGAGTTTTCACACAATCTGATGGTTTTATAAGGGGCTCTTTTCTGTTCTCCCTCTCTTTCCTTCCCTCCCTCCCTCCCTCTCTCCATTTTTCCCTCTCTCTCTCTCTCACTCTCTCTCTCACCTGCCACTATGTAAGATGTGCCTGCTTCCCCTTCTACCATGATTGTAAGTTTCCTGAGGCATCCTTATCCATGTGGAACTGTTAGTCAATTAAACCTCTTTTCTTTATAAATTACCCAGTCTCAGGCAGTTCTTTATAGCAGTGTGAGAACAGATTAGTACACTATCTCCCCCTTTTTCTCTCCTGAAACGAACACATATAAACAAACTAGCTCTAAAACAAATGGACAAACAAACACAAAGTCTAGGGAGGGAAGCTGAGGGAAAACAGTGGTATCTGTGATTGATTCTCACTAGTAAACATGGGTCATACCTCTTGGATTAGTATTGACTTTTTTTTTTTTTTTTTTTTTTAAGACTGAGTTTTACTCTTCTTGCCCAGGCTGGAGTGCAGCAGTGCAAACTCCGCCTCCTGGGTTCAAGCGATTCTCCTGCCTTAGCCTCCTGAGTAGCCGGGATTACAAGTTCATGCCTCCACGCCCAGCTAATTTTTCGTATTTTTAGTAAAGACAGGATTTCATCATGTTGGCCAGGCTGGGCTCACACTCCTGACCTCAGGTAATCCACCCACCTCGGCCTCCCAAAGTGCAGGGATTACAGGCATGTGCCACCATGCCCGGCTTAGTATTGACTTTCACATGACTATTTTTTACAGTGCTATATAATGGAAAAGATGCCTTATTAAGAGATACACAGATCACCACCCTCATTCAGTATGATTTCCATTACATTGGAAAGGTTCATTGACGTCTGAAACTTTAATTACACATATTTTTACCTGTTGATAAAAGTCTGAAATTCCCCAGTAAAACTAAAATGAGGGTCCACTTATACGTGGATTTTTCTTCCACCTCTGCCACTCCTGAGACAGCAAGACCAACTCCTCTCTTCTTCCTCCTCTTCCTCAGCCTACTCACTCATTGTGAAGATGATGAGGATGAAGATCTTTATGATGATCCACTTCCACTTAATGAAAAGTATATGTACTTTCTCTTCCTTATAATTTTCTTAATAACCTTTTTTCTCTAGCTTACTTTATTATAAGAATACAGTATATAACACATATAGCATACAAAATATGTGTTAGTTGACCATTTATATTATCGGTGAAGCTTCTGGTCAACAGTAGGCTATTAGTAGATAAGTATTAGTGTTGACTCCCCAATAAGTATTTATGGGGAGTGAAAAGTTATACACAGACTTTCAACTGCATGAGAGGTCACTAATCCTAATTGCTATGTTGTTCCAGGGTCAACTGAAATGACCTTAGAGCTGTGTTCCAGAGTTTCTACAGAATTAATACTGGAGACATTGTAGTATTAATATAACTCTGTGAGGAAAGTGAATGTCTTTGCCTTGTTTACCCTTTCAATGAGTCTGATTAAAATCTATTTTTTAGTTCCAGAGTGGAAATATAATAGATTCTCTCTCTTTCTCTTAATCTAATATATATATATATATATATATATACATTCTCTCTCTCTCTCTCTTTCTCTTTCTTTTTCCAAATGAGTAAATGAGTGAACATAGGGACAGAAAATATGGACAAATCTTGTCTACTCTCAAGGCCCAATAAGAATGAAAGGGAAGGATCTTGATGAAAGGAGGACAGCTATTTATCCACCATTTAGGCATGCAGGCTTTGGAGAAGAGGAGAAAGGTTGTCATCCCACTGGCCCTCAGAAAGATGGGCCCTTTCTCATCAACCAGAGGAGGGAAAGGACTACCTTTAGTGTGTCAAAGCAGGTCAATAGCAGCCACACAGGTCGGGCATGAGTCCTGTCTCCATGGAGCATTCTTCCTATGGAGTGGCCACATTGGCAAAGCCCAGCTGCCTAATCACAGTGGCCTACTAAACTAAGATAAAGGTTAGCAAGAGATTAAGGAATGAGGCAAAAAATTTACTGTTTTAAGTTTAAAAAATAAACCTTTTTTTAAAGGCTAATGACCAGACAACTCATATTTCAAATATTGTATTGGTGCCTATATTTAAACAGCATATTTACCCAACTTGCACTAACCACCGTTGTATCTAAAACCTGCAGACTTCAACCACCTTATGGAACAGTCTGGTACCACAGAAACTGTGGTAACAAGTGGTATTTGCTTAGGCAGCCTTAGGTTCCAGGAAAGGATTGAGCTTGAGATGTAACTAGTGCAAATCCTTTATGCTACTTCATTTCTGACTGTATCAGAGGAGCTCCATGGAGAAAGCAGGACTCAACAGAGACAAGCATGGAGAGAAATTAGTGTATGACTATGAGAAGTTGCCCTCGAGTCCTATGCGGCACGGCCTATGTGCATTTCTAAGCTGTTGAGATTGAGAACTGTGCCAAAAATTTTGTTCAACTTGTACGAAATACTTTGCACAGTTTTAAATGGCTTTAATCCCAATAATAAAGGTCTGTTTTTAAAATACACTCTAATAAAAGTCTTTTCTCCATGATGTGCTGTTTAAAGGTGAGATTCAGACTCTAATTGATAGAAATTTCCAAGCAGGTTCATGTAAAACGTCTAATGCCGTGCACAGGTATAGGCTCCCAGTTATCCTAATTGGGAACCTAATCAGAAATAGTCACTTTGTTCAGAAATAGCCTGATGCTTTTTTTTTTCTTTGACTCTTATTGTATTCAAGTGTTCTCCTTAAAATATCTGGAAAGCTTCAATAAGTGGTTGTAGAGTGTCCTAAGGAGCACCCTGGAGAATTAAAGGAGAACCAGATGTGGGATCCATCCTAACTATGAGATTTGGTACAAATCGCTTGCCTGTCTCAGCCTCAATTTTCTTGAACTATAAATGTAGATAATAATATCTGCTTGGCCTACCTCACAGAGTATTATAAGGCCTACATTAAATTATATTGGTCAAAGAACTTTAAAAAGCGCTATACACTTATAAGTATTTTTATGTTTGTCAATAAGAAGGAAATGGTTCACTGAATAAAGGGCAAAGTTAAACCTTGCACTGTAGTTGCTATGACTGCATAGTCCAATTCTTTTGAATAGTAAGATATTTTAACTTCAATCCTGGGGCTTTTAATATAAAAATGAAGTAAAAAATAAAGGGATGTTAAGTATTATTTTAAAGAGGAATTTACTGTGATAAACTTCAAGAACCTTACATTCTTATTCACTTCTTTTTCCTCAGTGCCTAGACAGTATCTGACATATAATGGTTACCCAATAAATGTTTAATGAATAGAACGTGAAGTATTTAAGCATCATTTATAAACACACTCAGTTTATAGAGCTAAAACTAAGACCTAAATCCAATTTAAATTGGAATTGTTTTTTATATATTAAAATATTGACACAAGTGAAGAGACTGACCTGCTGAAAGCAAAGAGTTTTTGTTTGACAGCAGGTCTTATATGAAAAGTTTTGTTTTTCATAAATATTTAAGGAAATTTTATTTATCCTGTAAGAAATTTATGTTTGTCTGCAAGAAAGCGGTGTTCTTTCGATGCCTATTATTGTCCATGCAACATACTAGGTGTTTTTTGCTTATTTTGACAAAGGCACTTGGACTTGTTAAAAATTACATTATCCTACATCTAAGTAAACACACATTCCAAGCATGTTGGGGCAAACCACTAACTACCCATTTAAAAAAATCTTCCCATTTGATTTTCAGAGAAAAAAAATGGAAACTGTCCGTTATGATTTAAATCTGTCCTGGAGCATTTTCCATGAGTTAACACAACTAAATTGTAAATCTAGGAACAAATAAACGAATACCCAAGTGGCTTTGAACAATTGAACCATTGCATGGTTTGCAGTGGGTGCATCCTTCTCCTCAAGCCTGCACAATAATTAAGAGGTTATCATGAAAAGAAACCTAGGACAATGGCATGAGAGGGAATGCTAAAATACTAATGAGAGGAAGAACCCAGGACAATCTGTTTAATAACTTCACAGCCATTGTTCACATCAGAGTGACAAACAGTATAATATGGTAGAGCTCTTGTGTCCTCTGGCTGTTCAGCACTGCCTCCACACTTCTTTACTGTGCCAGAACTACTTAGCTTCTTTTTATAGCCCTCACACACATTAAGTCGACAAGCGACAGAGAAAGCCTGCCATTGCGGCATAGGAAAAATAGGAGAGTGATGAGGAATTGGGTCACACTGGTCAGGGGATAAAGATAAGTCTCAACTAGACATATTAGGGGTAAGACAGATAACTGATATAAAACTCAGATATTTTAGTCTTTAGTTGTATGTGTAAGTAATAATCAATGTTGTTAGTTCTGTCCCCCAAACCCCCAGCTCAGATTTAGGCTAAAATAGGGTTTTTGTTTTTGGTTTTTAATCTAATTATACTCAGGTGTATTACAATAACCAGGGCATTTGAATTAATGGAAACAAATGAAATTAATCTAGAAAAGGTGACTAAAATCTGTCAAAGTACAAATTTTAGGATGTGCCTTTTGTTAGGTGTGCAATGTTATACTGAGGAATGCTAAAGAGTCCAAGGGAAGAGTGCTTAGCACTTTTTTATGCAAAGATGCATAATTCTAACCCAGGCACTCATTCATTGCATTGCTCAAAGAGACCAGGAATCAACAACCTACATGCCTATGGGGTACAAGTGTAATGCATAAATGCATATATTTGGCCAGATGTAAAATTAAAAGGAATGCAGGGATTTTGCTACTGTCCATAATAAACTAGCCTTCTCACAGAACAAATGTAAAAGATTCATTAAAGAAAAAAAGCACACACCACACACACACACACACACACACACACACAGAGAGAGAGAGAGAGAGAGAGAGAGAGAGAGAGAGAGAGAGAGAGAGAAAATAGCTGTTTGAAGGCATTGGAGCAATCAAAGCATCCAGAAAAAAGGGAAACACCTTTAGATGAGCCAGACCTAATCTTCCCTTATTCTATTCTTTAGGTTAGTGGTAGAGTTGCAGTTACTTAAGGGTTACAGAGTCTGCTGCTTCCAAGCGTGGAGCGTATAGGCTGAACTGAAAGTACTGGTTTAGAGCTAGAAGTAGTTTCAGTGGGCTGCGGAGACAAAATTTGGGGTTAAGGGTTACCAAGACAGCCAGGACTTAAGGGACCAAGATCCTAGAGAAAAGGAAACTGCAAAAAAGTCTCATGATACATGTGGAATTCAGAGGCACTTGTAACTCCTAAGCTATACTTGAGTGAAGCTAAATGCCAAGAGATAGCTAAACCAAGTAGAAAGCAAACTGTTAAGAAGTAGATAGCCAAATGAAGATTTGGCAGTTTCAGAGTTCTGGGGAGACCCAATCTGAAGTTCTGGAATGACTGTGGAGGAGGGGCTATGAAGCCACCTTGGCTTCAATTGAGGGTCCCTGAATATCTGAGCCCTAGGACCAAAAACAAACAGAAATACACAGCTTTGAGTAGATCAGAGTAATCGTTCCATACTCTACCTGTCCAGAAGATTAAATTTCTTTCTTTTTTTTCTTTTAGAAGGAGCCTCACTCTGCCACCAGGCTGGAGCGCAGTGGCGCGATCTCGGCTCACTGCAAACTCCACCTCCTGGGTTCAAGAGATTCTCCTGTCTCAGCCTCCTGAGTAGCTGGGATTATAGGCACACTCCACCACACCCATCAAATTTTCTGTATTTTTAGTATATATATATATAAAAAATAGTTCTCTTACCTCAAATCAAACACAAAATAATCAACTCCAGACAGATTGTAGATGTAATTGTGAATGATTAAACAATAAGGCTTCTAGAGCAGGGATCCCCAACCCCTGATGGGTCTGTGAGCCTGTTAGGAACTGGGCTGCACATCAGGAGGTGAGCCGTGGACTAGTGGGCATTACCACCTGAATTCTGCCTTCTGTCAGATTAGCAGCGGCATTAGATTCTCATAGGAGAGCCAAGCCTACTGGGAACTGCGCAAGCGAGGGATCTAGGTTGAGCGCTACTTATGAGAATCTAACTAATGCCTGGTGATCTGAAGTAGAATGGTTTCATTCAGAAACCATCTTCCCTCTCCTGCAGCAAAGGCTGGGGACCACTCTTCTAGAGGATAACATAGAACATGAGCAGAAAATTATGGCTTGTAAGCCAAATCCAGTTTACCACCTATTTTTGTAAATAAAGTTTTACTGGAACACGGCCATACCCATTCATTTACATATTGTCTCTGGCTGTTTTTTTGCTACTTGAGAGTTGAGTGGTTGTGACAGAGACTATATGGCCTGCAAAGTGGAAATATTTACTATTTGGCCCTATACAGAAAAAGTTTGCCAATATCTGATACAGAATAATATGAGAATATTGTCATGTTGTTATAAGAAGGAAAGAGTTCTTAAATAACTACAAAAAGTGCAAACCTTAAGGGAAAATATTGTTAAGTCATACTTCATTATTATTAAACATTTCTGTTCATTGTAAGACATTATTAGGGAGAGTAGGAGAAGGTATTTGTAATACCATGTATTCAACATAGTATTATTGCTCATGGTTTCCTATCTCCACTCCCTTACTCATCCATCCCTCTGGAAAAAATGTACTTCTCAGCTCCATTGACTTTGGGCTGAAATTTATGACTCGCTTTGGCCAATGATTTGTAAATGGACATGACATTTTCCATGACTGAATAGAAGATGCTTTTAGAGACATTGCTAGTTTCTGCTAGCTCCATCTCTTGCTTTGACTTTCAACCATGAGAACTGGATATCTCAGATAGTGGCTCCATCTTCAGCTTGTTTCCTAGAGTGAGAAGACACATGCAGCCAAGCTGAACCAAGGAAAAATGAGCCTAGCTTGAACTAGAGGAGTCCAGAAGAGCTGTAAATGAACTGCAACCAACACATAAAGTGAGAATGAAATATACATTTGTTGTTATAACACTCTGAGATTTTTGAGGTTGTTTATTAAGTGGCATAACATTGAGGAAGCTAATACATAAACAAAGGAAATATTCATTAAAATACCCTGGAAATCAATGAGAAAAATAAAAACAACCCAATTTGAAAATGTGTAAGGCTTGAATATCCTTAAAGGAGGGTACCCATTTGGCCAAGAAGCATGTATCAAATTGTTCAAAATTCAACTTAAATGCAAATTAAAACTAAAAAGAGATATTGATACATGCCCTCCAGAATGGCTAAAATAAAATTAAAAAAAACCCTGGCAATATCAAATGTTGACAAGGATGTGGAACAACCTTAACTAATATATCATGTTGGTTGGAGAATGAATTGGTATAATCACTTTCAAAAACTACTCAGCAGTATCCATATCAATATATATATCACCCTATAACCTAAAAATTCCACTCCTGGAAATATATTCATTATAAATGAGTAAAAATACACAATAAAAGACATTTGTAAGAATATTCACTGTAGCATTATTTGTAATAGTCCTAAACGGGAAACAATCTAAATACTCATCAATAGCAGACTGGATAAATTGTGGTATATTTATTCACCAAAATATTATACAGCAATAAAAAAGAATAAACTACTATATCAATATAGATGAATATTTCTATTTTGAGCAAGAGGAGCCGGATGCAAAAGCATATACCTTATCTGTATATTCTACAAAATTCAAAAACAGGCAAATTAAATTTGGGGGATTAAAACTAGTCAATGTTTACCTTTGGGTGTAATAAGCACTGAGAGGGAGCATAAAAGTATCCTGGGGTGCTGGTAATATTCTATATTTTTATCTAGATGGTTACATAGTGTTTTCACTTTTAAAAGATTATTTGAGCTATGCACTTTAGATTTGTGAACTTTACTATATGCTATACTTTGATAAAATATCTATTTCAAAAAGAGAGCTAGGGCCTTTGCATTAGTCCATTTTCATGCTGCTAATAAGGACATACTCGAGACCGGGCAATTTACAGAAGAAAGAGGTTTATTGGACTTACAGTTCCATGTGCCCGGGAAGGCCCACAATTATGGCAGAAGGTGAAAGGCATGGCACATGGCAGCAGACAAGATAAAAGGGAGTTTGTGTAGGGAAACTCCCCTTATAAAACCATCAGATCTAGTGAGATTTATTCACTATCATGAGAACAGCACAGGAAAGACCTGCCCCCATGATTCAATTACCTCCCATCAGGTCCCTCCCACCATATGTGGGAATTCAAGATGAGATTTGGGTGGGGACACAGCCAAACCAAATAAGCCTTTAACTGAGAGAGTTTGGGGGGTGGGTGTGCATGAATTCTCTTTCATACACACACACACACACACACACACACACACACACACACATCCTTTGAAGGAATTCAAATGAAACAAAACAAAACAAAAACATTTTGAGGGATAAAATTAGCTTATATGCCTCCTGCTTAAGGAATTTTACTTCATTCTGTACCAACTAAAAATTGAAGATGATTTTTTTCATTTATGTAAAAATTATATTAGGCATAAAAGTCAGATAATATATAAATAATTTATAATGCCTTCTATTTTATATTCAAATCTTGCATTCTAAGAAAAATATTCAGTGGTAATAGGTCCCTAGTGATACTAACAATTGAGTGCGAACAATATTTTAGAACTGTATTTCCATTAAATATAGAGTCAGATATAAGATCCACTCTTAAACACAGGGCACAGGAATGTAAGATTCACAAGGGCTGGTATTGTATTTTGTCTTATACATGGTTCTATGCCAAATTTCTAGAAATTTACCTTGCTTGTGGCAATAATAAATATTTATTGAATTAATATAAAATTGGGTAATTATTTTATTCAGCATGGATAATTATTTCATTCAGCATGAATAATTTAAATGCTGTAGTAAAACTGAATCTTTATATTCTTATGTTCCTTAAATTTCCAATTATAAGACTGGCTTACAAAATACTAATTTCTGATACTAGAAAAATTGTAATGTTCTAAACATATTGTCAGTTTGCAGGTCCCACATTTCAATTATTGTTGGATTTCTCAGAAACTTTGTGCAAACCAATCCAACAACATTTTCTAAGCACTGAATGTGAGAGTAATACTGAATAGAGCCTGTATGATATGGTCCCTGTCATCGTTTTGTGGAAACAGAACTTCTACATGAAACTAGTAGATATAAAACAAAACAAAGACAACAGTTTGTAATAATATGGTAGACTGAATAAAATTAAGTGCCAGTGTATGTGAGCAACACAATGGGGGCTGAGGTCAGTCAAGAAAACAATCCTGGCAAGACTTGTCATTCAAAGAAAACATTGACCTAGAGGTGACTTTTGAAGAACTAGTAAAATTTGGACAGTCATAGAAAAGGGGCAAAGATACTCAGCAGACAGTGGGGGAAGGCACAAAATGGCAAGGTCTCTCAAGATTAGCTTGCTTATATTAGAGGACACACATGGGGAATAGACGAAGACTGGAAAAGCAAAGCAATTCCAGCTATGAGTGATCTAGCACAGTGCTTCTCTAGCACAGCATATCTGCGAATCATCTTGTTACAATGTTGGTTCTGTTTTCACAGGCCTGGTGCGGGCCCAAGATACTGCATTTCTAACAGTAACACCAGTGCTGTTGGTCTGTAGATGCACTTTGAGTAGCAAGGGTCTAGAATGCATAAAAAGAAGATTTGGAATTTGATATGATGGAAAAAAACTTTTATAGGCCTGAAGAGGGAAAGATAAAGGTAGATTATGGCACTGATGAAAACAGTAATGACAATAATAACATTTATTAAATTTTTACATAAATTATCTCCAATTCTTAACCTGGTCAGTTAAAGAAGCAACTACCAAGGAGTCAAGAATATCATTGTAAAAAACAGGGGTAAAGCGGGAGACAAGGACTTTATTCAGGTAAAATAAGTCAGAGAGGACCAAGAAAGTGATGAAGACACAATGTGCCATGGCATGCTCTGGGGTTTGCTTTGGAAGCCCATATCAATATTAAAGTGTTGATACCATAGGGTTGCCTTGATGGTCTGGAATTGCTTTGAAGCAATCAAACAGACCTCCGCCTGAGTTTGCAATATCTTCCTTTATATTCATAAAAATCCAGGTTATATCTTTGCTTCATAAAGAAAAATGCTGAGACAACTTTCTTCTCTTTCAATTATTTGTCAGCATTATCCTGTTAGTAAGTTTGCCTCTGGTTTGTAATTACCTGGTGTAATCGTCTGAGTTCACATTTGGGACCTGAGATGTATGTTAGTTACCCGCAGATTGGGCACTGGAATACCAGGCCCTCGCCTGACGAGGCAGAATACTTTGAAGTTTGTAGATAGTAAAGAAATACATAGACTTTTGAATGCAAAAACAAGGACAACATCTCCTAGGTCTAGTTATGGTGATGAGTAACTTGGCAGCAACTTAGAAGATTAAGAGTGAAGTGCTGCTACTGACCACCCTACCCTTTTATGAGTTCAAGGAAAGTGCTGGCAGACTTTCTTAGGATAGATAAATGACCTTCCCTGTCAACGCTATTCAGAGGTTAGTGTCCTTGGGGAAGAGGATCTAAGGCCAGATGCATGTAGGATATGCTCTCTGCTTCTGCTTAATTTTCTGCTGCTAATATATGAATTTTCAACATGTGTTTATACAGCTGTCTAAATCCCGAGTGCTTTGTGCAGGAAAGTAGGAACTGTAGGCAGAAAAAGTCCTCTTTCAAAATTAGGGTAGAAAAAAGATACCCAGGTCCCATTAATTTGCTTTATGAAAACAGAATTTTAATATTGGCTAAAGCATATCATTTTTGCTCATCTTAAAACACTGTCAGTATCAGATGCACAAAACTTTCAGGTAAATAATGCAGGACAATGAGAAACCTATTCATCTTTTCATTTGTGCTTAAACAATTAGAAATGATTTTTACTTATTTTTTTTGTCACAAAGAAATACGTTATTATTATATAAACTTTGTAAAATACCAATACATGAAGGAGAAAATAATTGCTTGTAGGTCCACAACTCGGTTATCATTTTGGTGTGTGTTCTTCCAATCTCTTTTCTATGCATATTTGCTATGTGTCATAGCTGTCAATGTTCATATTAAGTTGAATCCTGCTTTTGAAACTAACATTATATCAATTCTTAACACAACAGATGCAGCCTTCTAGGGGCATTTCTTATTTTGTAATTATCAAGCATTTAACCCTTGAAAGGTTGAGGAATTACATTAAATGAATAGTTCTATTACGTAGAATACACAGCCCAAGAAACAGCATTTTCTTTAGTGTTAACACTGTATTCAGTTTAAGACCTTTTTGGCATGCATGAATATTTCTATGAGATCTTTAAAGGGAGATTGTATTGTGGGGAGGTAAGATTTTTTTCACTGAATATCCGAATTTGTGTAATAATTCATATATAAGATTCCAGTTAATAAGGTAAATCTAGCGTTTGGTATAGAAAAAAAAAGAGTTGGGATGATTTTTCTCCTCACCAATAACAACCATGGCCTGAATTTTTTTTTAATTGAAATACATTTGAGAAGTATCTGTTCATATCCTTTGCCCACTTTTTGATGGGGCTGTGTGTTTTTTTCTTGTACATTTGTTTAAGTTCGTTGTAGGTTCTGGATATTAGCCCTTTGTCAGATGGATAGATTGCAAAAATTTTCTCCCATTCTGTAGGTTGCCTGTTCACTCTGATGATAGTTTCTTTTGCTGTGCAGAAGCTCTTTAGTTTAATTAGATCCCATTTGTCAATTTTGGCTTTTGTTGCCATTGCTTTTGGTGTTTTATACATGAAGTCTTTGCCCTTGCCTACGTTCTGAATGGTATTGCCCAGGTTTTCTTCTAGGATTTTTATGTTCCTAGGTCTTATGTTTTAGTCTTTGATCCATCTTGAGTTGATTTTTGTAAAAGGTGTAAGGAAGGGGTCCAGTTTCAGTTTTCTGCATATAGCTAGCCAGTTTTCCCAGCAACATTTATTTAATAGGGAATCTTTTCCCCATTGCTTGTTTGTGCCAAGTTTGTCAAAGATCAGATGGTTTTAGATGTGTGGTGTTATTTCTGAGGCTTCTGTTCTGTTCCATTGGTCTATATATCTGTTTTGGTACCAGTACCATGCTGTTTTGATTACTGTAGCCCTGTAGTATAGTTTGAAGTCAGGTAGCATGATGCCTCCAGCTTTGTTCTTCTTGCCCAGGATTGTCTTGGCTATGTGGGCTCTTTTTTGGTTCCATATGAAGTTTAATGTAGTTTTTTTCAATTCCATGAAGAAAGTCAGTGGTAGCTTGATGGGGATGGCATTGAATCTATAAATTACTTTGGGCAGTATGGCCATTTTCATGATATTGAATCTTTCTATCCATGAGCATGGAATGTTTTTCCATTTGTTTGTGTCCGCTCTTATTTCCTTGAGCAGTAGCAGCAGTTTGCAGTTCTCCTTGAAGAGGTGCTTCACATCTGTTGTATTCCTAGGTATTTTCTTCTCCTAGTAGCAATTGTGAATGGGAGTTCACTCAGGATTTGGCTCTCTGTTTGTCTGTTATTGGCGTATAGGAATGCTTCTGATTTTTGCACATTGATTTTGTATACTGAAACTTTGCTGAAATTGCTTATCAGCTTAAGGAGATTTTGGGGTGAGCCAACGGGGTTTTCTAAATATACAATCATTTCATCTGCAAACAGAGACAATTTGACTTCCTCTCTTCCTATTTGAATACACTTTATTTCTTTCTCTTGCCTAGTTGCCCCGGCTGGAACTTCTAATACAATGTTGAATAGGAGTGGTGAGAGAGGGCATCCTTGTCTTGTGCTGGTTTTCAAAGGGAATGCTTCAAGTTTTTGCCCATTCAGTTTGATATTGGCTGTGGGTTTGTCATAAATAGCTCTTACTATTTTGAGATATTTTCCATCTATTTTATTGAGAGTTTTTAGCATGAAGGGATGTTGAATTTTGTCGAAGGCTTTTTCTGCATCTATTGAGATAATCATGTGGTTTTTGTGATTGGTTCCGTTTATGTGATGGATTACATTTATTGATTTGCGTATGTTAAACCAGCCTTGCATCTCAGGTATGAAGCCGACTTGATCATGGTGGATAAGCTTTTTTATGTTCTGCTGGATTCAGTTTGCCAGTATTTTATTGAGGATTTTTGCATTGATGTTCATCAGGGATGCAGCCAACAGACATATGAAAAAAATGTTCATCATCACTGGTCATTAGAGAAAAGCAAATCAAAAGCACAATGAGATGCCATCTCACACCAGTTAGAACGGTGAACATTAAAAAGTCAGGAAACAACAGATGCTAGAGAGGATGTGGAGAAATAGGAACACTTTTACACTCTTGGGAGTGTAAATTAGTTCAACCATTGTGGAAGACATTGTGGCAATTCATCAAGGATCTAGAACTAGAAATACCATTTGACCCAGCAATCCCATTACTGGGTATATACCCAAAGGATTATAAATCATTCTACTATAAAGACACAGACACATGTATGTTTATTGCAGCACTATTTGCAATAGCAAGACTTAGAACCGATCCAAATGTCTATCAGTAATAGACTGGATAAAGAAAATGTGGCACATATACACCATGGAATAATATGCAGCCACAAAAAAGGATGACTTCTTGTCCTTTGCAGGAACGTGGATGAAGCTGGAAACCATCATTCTCAGTAAACTGTCACAAGAACAGAAAACCGAATGCCGCATGTTCTCACTCATAAGTAGGAGCTGAACAATGAGAACACATGGACATAGGGAGGGGAACATCACACACCAGGGCCTGTCGGGGAGTGGGGTGTTAGTGGAGGGATAACATTAGGAGAAATACCTAATATAGGTGAAGGGTTGATGGGTGCAGCAAACCACCATGGCACGTATACACCTATGTAACAAACCTGCACATTCTGCACATGTACCCCAGAACTTAAAGTATAATAAAAAAATTAAAATACAGATTTTTAATAATTTATACACAAATAAAATCCATTGATTTCACCAATGTATAGGCTGCTGAGTTTTGACAAATGTCTACAGTCATGTAATTGTGACCACAATCAAGATATAGAATAATTCTGTCACCCTCAAAAGTTCCTTTGTGTCCATTCCCAGACATTCTGTTAATACCCCCAGCCCTAGGTGAACACCAATCTGTTCTCTGTTTCTATAGATTAGTTTTGCCTGTTCTAGAACTTTATGCAAATGAAATAGTATATGTTCTATTGTGTTTAACTTCTTTTGCTCAGTAAAGAGAGAGAGAGAGAGAGAGAGTGTGTGTGTGTGTGTGTGTGTGTGTGTATAATAGATTCAGGGGATACACGTGCAGGTTTTTTGCCTGGATATATTGCATAATGGTGAAGTTTGGGTTTCTAGTATACTCATCACCCAAATAGCGAACATTGTACCCAATAAGAAACTTTTCAACCCTCACCCCTCCCACACCCTCCCTCTTTTTGGAGTCTACAGTGTCTATTATTTCCCTCTGTATGTCTATGTGTACCCATTGTTTAGCTCCCACTTCAAATAAGAATATGCAGTATTTGATTTTCTGTTTCTGAGTTATTTCACATAGGATAATGGCCTCCAATTCCATTCATTTTGCTGCAAAAGACATGAATCATTCCTTTATATAAAGGCTGTGTAGTATTCCATGGTGTATATATCCAGTTATCTATTGATGGGCAGTTAGATTGATTCCATGACTTTGCTATTGTGAATGGTGCTGAGATAAACATACAAGTACAGGTGTCTTTTTAAAAAAATTTTTTTGCAGGAACAAGATCTTACTATGTTTCTCAGGCTGGTCTTGAATGTTTGGCCTCAAGCGATCCTCCTGGGTCAGCCTTTCCAAATGCTGGGAAAACAATTTCTTTTTCTTTGGGTAGATCACTAAAATATTTTTGATTCATTCATTTCATTTTATATTTTGTTTATTTCTACTTCTGAGTAGTGTCCCATTTTATGGATGTTCCACAGTTAACCATTCACCTATTGAAGGGTATTCAGACTGTGCTATAGACTAAATGTTTTTGTCTCCCCTCACACCACTCAATTCATATGCTGAGACCTAACCCTCAATGTGATGGTATTAAAAGATTGGGCCAATGGGAGGGGATTAGGTCATGAAAATGAAGCCCTCATCTGTGGAGCTATGGGATTTTTCCATTGCAGTGGTTTTTTACTTCCCCAGGTAGATGCTACTGACAGTGGATTTATGCCTTCATAAGAGAGACCCCAGAAGGCTTCCTTGGCCCTTCTACCACAGAAGGACACAAGACAAAGATGGCCATCTATAAATCAGAAAGTGAGCCCTTACCAGACATCAGATCTGCTAGTGGCTTGGTCTTGATCTTTCCAGACTCAAGAGCTGGGAGAACCAAATTTCTGTTCTTTATAAGTCACCCAGTTTATGCCACTATAACACCATGAACAGACTAAGACAGAATGTTTCCAGATGCACTTATATATAGGTTTTTGTATGATCACATTTCTTTTACATTTCTCTCTTTAGTTGTGTTGAGTCTACTTATGAACCCGTCAAAGACATACTTCATCTTGTTACCATGCTTTTACCATGCAAGTCCATTAGACTTTTCCATATACTGGGTGAAATTGCCCTTCTCTTAAAAACTCTGTGTACTTTCTAAAATAGAGCCATTAACACATTAAGGATTTTTTGTATTACCTGTCTGATATTTTCAACATCTGGTTTATCTGTGGGTCTGGTTCTATTGATTGCTTAGTCTCTTGAAAGAAGATTTTCTTTTGAATGCTGACTTTATATGTAGAACAGTGAAGACTAAAGTCAACAGCATTTATGCCTAGAAATGAGCAAGCCTCTTCTGCTAATTATTAATGCTGGAGTTGGCATCAATGTACTCAGGATTTGAGTTGCATTTGTGTTTTGCTGATGTGGTTCCTCTGAATATCTTCTGTATACAATCAATTGCAAATTTCTCTAACATTGTCTTATATATATGATATAAGCTGGGTTACTGGAGGATTTTTATAGTCCTTTTTCTTCATCTTCTACTTTTGTTTTTCTCTGAGCTTGTGCTTAAGAGGGAGTTTTTGTCTCCATACTCTTGCTCCTTTTGCAACAGAAGACTGCCATTTCTCGTTACTCAGTGCTTCCTAGCCTAGAGGTGGTGGCAGAAGTGATTCTCTGTGTCCCAGCCCAGCCTCAGTTTTAGGCATGCCCCCCATTCTTGGGCCTCAATAGTTGGCTCTCTCAGTGATCCTGCTACTCCTCCATGTGGTAGCTGAACTCTAACTTGGGTTTTGTGTGGGGAAGAGTTTTATGCTACCTCCTGGCCCCCACCAGCTGTAGGAGACCATCAATAGTTTGGGCCCAGGATAGGTTTCTATCTCTTCTCCAAGGGCATAGAATCTTTTTCTTTTACCCTTTATCCAGAATTAATGGGTCTTCACCTGTTCTCTGGGAACAACAGGTCTGCTGCCCTTTGCCCACTGACTTCTAGTTTTATTCCATAGAAGAGAAGAGCATAGTGCAGCTATGGGATTTTTCCATTGCAGTGGTTGTTTCCTTCCCCAGGTAGATGCTACTGAGAGTAGATTTCTCTGGTCTCGTGCCCTGCCCGCACTCTCTTCAGTGCCCAGTGGATATCAGTGGAAAATAACCTGTAAGAGGTTGTGGACTCTTCTTGAGTCTGCAACAATCAGAGATTTTATACTCTCATGCTAATCTACAGTGATCCCCTAGAACTTTGTTAGAAATTTTAGGTAAAATCTGCTTCACTTCCATGGTGCTCAGCATCTATTTGCACATAAACTTAAATACATGTGTGAGAAAAATATTAACCTCCAAGTATTGAAAGACAACCTTGTAGGCATCAGAACTACCCATTTCTCCATTCCATGGCTTTTATGCTTTGTAAGGAAGGCTTAGTAAATGAATGACTCTTCTAACAATACATCGAGTCCCTGCATTAAATAACCACTGAAATTTCATAGCATTTTTATTTCATTTTATTTTATTTTTTTTGAAAACAGTGACTTTTCCCTTCTTTCTTCTTCTTAGTTCTTGAATATGTAAGTAAAGACTCACATCTTAGAGTTGGTCAAGCCAAATAAGATGATAAATTAAAGTTTATTTAACTGTTTTGGAGATTTCATTAATCTTTCTCTTTTTGAGGCTGTCATTAATTATTTTTAAATATTTGAATTAGTTGTATTTATCATAAATTAGAACCAAGACCCATGAGAATTATGCATTCTCATGGAGGATGCAATTAAAAATGTGAAACAAAACAAAAACAACAGCTAGCACTTCTGCAAACCCAGCTTGCTTAATTTTTCAAAGTACTGTTAATAAAATCAGCATAACTGATTTGCATTTGTGAGTGGATAAATGGATATTGGAAAAATTTTTTTTGTGGTTAGAGCAAAATGAAATAAGAAAGCAAAATTCCTTTACAAATGTGTGTGTGTATATATATATATATATATATATATATATATATATATATATATATTTCCTTAAAGCAATTCTGTTTCAAGTTGAGCCTGGAGGTAGGTACCCTCTGAAAAAACCCAAGTATTTCCACCTGAATGAAAAACCACAAGTTTTTCATTCCTAATGCTTGACTTCTACCTAGTTTCCAGAACCTTTGCAGCTACTATTGTACCCTCTTGTCAGGGGCTTGTAGGATTCTTCTCTGGAATTCACAATAGCTTAGGAGGGGAGAACTAAAGATACTGACCTCAGCGTTACTCTGATAAAACAACTAAGCCAGATCATTACATAGTGAAACTCACGGTTTCACTTTTACAAAGCCCATTCTTCAAATCAATTTATAGAGCTCCACTCTTAGATACCAGTAGGAAATCAAGAATCATGGACATTCAAGGAAAGCCTTCAATGTGAAAGCTGGAGACACAAAAGAACACACTGAAAAATGCAACCTGGGGAAAAGAGAACTTAGGCTGGGAGAAGAAAACTTCAAAAAACGATCATTGGTATCCTCCAAAAGATAACATCATGCATCCTTGAAGTAAATAATAGGTTACTATAAAAGGAGCATCAGAGAGAAAACGAGTTATTGAAAAGTAAAGAACTGATAACAGAAATGAAAAAAAAATGTTAGAAGATGAGGTGAAGAAATCTCCAATAAAATAGATGTAAAAGGCAAAGAAAAAAACAATATGATTGAAAAGAAAATTAGAGGACCCTTTCAGGAGTTCTAGAATGTGAAAAAAATGGAAAAGAGAAAAATCATTAAATCATTCAAGAAAATTTTCCTAAACTGGAGCCTTTCTTGGTCGATTTTTGGTGCTATTTAGGAGGAGCCTGATAAATATTGCACCTTCATGGATTCCTTAGGGGATCTTCATTCAAGGGAAATTGCCAATGACAAGTTAGAGGTAGCACTCAGTCCTCTTATTCATTGGAGAGTTTGACACACACAAAGCTGTCCTTTTGAAGCCTAAAGAACTAACATGGAAGGCGTTAGTAATTATAATTTGCTCAGAATTGAGCACAGTGTATGATCACATGCAGTGGAAATCTAGTAAATGGTCATTGACTTGTGTTATTCCATGCTAGCCCCAGATTATGCCTGACTGGAAGTAGGTCTTTAGGGGTTGTTGCTTCTGAAGGTTACTTTCTCAGACAGCAGCTTAGTTGAAAGGGATTTAGGTTTAAAATATGTCTTATGAATGGTAAAGGCATTTTTCTAAATAAAAAAAAGACTCAACGTTGCAGATAAATTTTTCTTAAATTATGAATTTAGTATACAAAAAATTTTACAAAGGTATACAAATTAAGTGACATTTAATTTGTCAAAAGGAACAAAATTATATTGAATTGGATATGCCCCAGACATTCTAGGCTACCTGCAGTTGCCTTAGATTATACATGCAAATAGATAAGATCAGTCTTCAAAGTCTCTTTTAAACACATTGAGAAAGGATCATTTATGATAGTGAGTAATAGGGAAAATGATTTCCTAGGGAAATTTGAAAAATATTTGTAAGACTACCACTTGGAATAAAAAGTTTTACTTTTGTAATCACATCACAAAAACGTGGATATATGGATCACTACAAGACCAGCAATGCCAACTTAGACCATCTTTCTTTCTTTCTTTTTTTTTTTTCTTCTGAGACAGAGTCTCACCTGTTGCCCAGGCTGGAGTGCAATGGCGTGATCTCTGCTCACTGTAACCTCCTCCTCCTGGGTTCAAGTGATTCTCCTACTTTAGCCTCCCAAGTAGCTGGAATTACAGGTGCACGCCACCATGCCTGGCTAATTTTTGTGTCTTTAGTAAGGATGGGGTTTCACCAAGTTGGCCAGGCTGGTCTCGAACTCCTGACCTCGTGATCTGCCTGCCTCAGCCTCTCAAAGTGCTGAGATTACAGGCATGAGCCACCATGCCTGGCCAGACCATCTTGACATGATTATATCCTAATGTATCTTCTCTTTTTTTTAACTGAATTTATATATCACTATTTATATGTCTGGATCTTTTCCCATGTTTATTTTCTGTGGTAATGATAATTTATGTTCTTGGATGTGAACTAGACTTGGAATATTGAATTCAATTTGATCCAGAGAGTCAAGCAGACCATATCTACCTTTACACATTTGAAATTGTAGCATTTGCCATTTCACATAATTTTGTTGCTTTGAGCACTTGGAAATTTCTCATTCATACTGCATTTTGGAAGTGTGGAAAGAAATAAAATGTTTGTATGTTTTCTTTGAGATAGGATTTATTCTATTTTCCTGTTCTACTTGTAGGCAAAACTATAGTTGGCCAGTCAGGCAAATGCTGTTGTGAATGCAGAATTAGATACCAGTTTTCTAGGAGAACTGAAACAAGAAGTATTTTATTGACATCCAGGTAGATTTCAGCTTCTTATCCTTCAAAGTCACCCAGACCTCTGGCCTGGCATTTCCTTAGAATCTCTCTGCTTCCTGCTTCTGTACTTGCTCTTTCATTTTTGGTTTATTCTCTACTTCCTTGTTGCTCAGAAATACTCCAACAATGTTTGCAGCACTGCTGAAGAGTGAAACATTCAGATTAACAGTTGGAATTTGTCCTGTTCAACACAATTATTGATTGGACAGTGTGGGAAATGAAATGTAGTAAAGCTAGGAGAAACTACTACTTTTCCTGATAAACACAACTTGTATATTTAAAATTACTTCTAACACACGAGTCCTTCTTCTGGAATCTTTACTGAGTGGTATTCCCTGTAAAGAGAATCTGATCATCCAATATGATTTCTTGTCCTGATTTCTGGGTTATGTAAACACATTTTGTTTGAGATGCTACTTAACGATTCTTGTCCATGTATAATGTCTTTCTTTTCTTCATTTCTTCCCGCCTTCCTTCCTAAACAATTCTTAAGAACGAACTATGTGTGAAGAACTAATTGGCTAAAACTTTTACGCTTGAAGAACTTACAAGACAGTGTGGGAATCAGGGATGTGTGAAAATAATTATAAATAATACAAACTACTAACAATTGTGGAGATTCTTTTATCTGCTGAACACAACTAAGATCACAGAGAAACTCATTTAATCCTCAAAGTAACTCTAATATTGCTCCCATTATAATAGATGAGGAAATAGGTCCGCAGGCTTTGGGTCCTTGACTTTGGTTGAAAAAAGGAGTTTCTTTCTTTTTTTTCCTTTCTTTCCTTTTTTTCCTTCCTTCCTTCCTTCCTTCCTTCCTTCCTTTCTCCAAAGCACCGGGATTTTTGCACAATGACTCAACATCTTTCTAAAGGCAGACATTTAGGTCAAAGGTAATAGGTATACTAAAAGAGGTACAGATCAAATCCCCTGGGAATGAACAGAAGGGATGTGGGTAGATGGAAAATGTGGGATCAGGAAAGATTTTGTAGAATACATGCAGATTAAATTGAGCTTTCAATGACATTAGGGTGTTGTGTGTGTGTGTGTGCATGCACGTGCATGCGTGTCTGTGAGTCTGTAAGACACCAACAAACTATGCTTCTGGCCTTGAGGAAGCTGGCCTTCTTTCTGAGTATATTCATAGCAACTTCATCTGAATCTTGTCTGAGCTCCATTCTGAGGCTACTAAAGTCTGGAGACAGGCCAGGCATGGTGGCTCACGCCTGTAATCCCAGCACTTTGGGAGGCTGAGGCGGGTGGATCACGAGGTCAGGAGTTCAAGACCAGCCTGACTAACATGGTGAAACCCCGTCTCTACTAAAAATACAAAAATTAGCTGGGCATGGTGGTGCATGTCTGTAATCCCAGCTACTCTGGAGTCTGAGGCAGGAGAACTTCTTGAAACTGGGAGGCAGAGGTTGCAGTGAGCTGAGATTGTGCCACTGCACTCCAGCCTGGGCAACAGAGCAAGACTCCATCTCAAAAAAAAAAAAAAAAAAGGTCTGGAGAGAATAAATGGTTGTCAAAGATCACACAACTGGTTATTAGAAAAATACAAATCAAAACCACAATGAGATTCCATCTCATGCCAGTTAGAAAGGCAATCATTAAAAAGTGAGGAAACAACAGATGCTGGAGAGGATGTGGAGAAATAGGAACGCTTTTACACTGTTGGTGGGAGTGTGAATTAGTTTAACCATTGTGGAAGATGGTGTGGCAATTCCTTAAGGATCTAGAAGTAGAAATACCATTTGACTGAGCAATCCCATTACTGGTTATATACCCAAAGGATTATAAATCATTCTACTATAAAGACACATGCACATGTATGTTTATTGTGGCACTGTTCACAATAGCATGTATTGTTTATTGCAGCACTATTTACAATAGCAAAGACTTGGAACCAACCCAAATGCCCATCAGTGTTAGACTGGATAAAAAAAATGTGGCACGTATACACCATGGAATACTATGCAGGCATTAAAAAGGATAAGTTCATTTCCTTTGCAGGGACATGGATGATGCTGGAAACCATCATTCTTAGCAAACTAACACAAGAACAGAAAACCAAGCACTGCATGTTCTCACTCATAAGTGGGAGTTAAACAATGAGAACACATGGACACAGGGAGGGAAACATCACACACTGGGGCCTGTTGGGGGGTGGGGGGCTAGGGGAGGGATATCATTAGAAGAAATACGTAATGTAGATGATGGGTTGATGGGTGCAGCAAACCACCATGGCACGTGTATACCTATGTAACAAACCTGCACGTTCTGCACATGTATCCCAGAACTTAAAGTATAATTTAAAAAAATAATAATAACAGGTTGCAGTAAAGGAGCTGGCCAAAACCCACCAAAACCAAGATGGCCACAAGAGTGACCTCTGATCGTCATCACTAATACACTCCCATCAGCGCCATGGCAGTTTACTAATGCCATGGCAATGTCAGGAAGTTACTCTATATCGTCGAAAAAGGGGAGGCATGAATAATCCACCCCTTGTTTAGCATATCATCAAAAAATAACCATAAAAATGGGCAACCAGCAGCCATCCGGGTTGCTCTGTCTATGGCGTAGCCATTCTTTTATTCCTTTACGCTCTTAATAAACTTACTTTCACTTTGCAAAAAAAAAAAAAATCACATAACATATTAGAAGCAGAGCCAGGACTAGAATGAGCATCATGTTTCCATAAATATAATTTTAATTGGCATTTATTTGTATCTTTCTTGGACCCCAATTCATTATAGCCCCAAATCAGTTCAAAAAGTTGATTCAGAGATTTATGCCCTATTATTGGGGCCACTACCAGTGATTGACTTCCTGTGTCTAAAAGTATACTCGTATGAGGGAAATCACTGTACTACAATTAACACTAAACATAGAAGCACATAATCAATATGTGACTAACATTGTCAAAGAAACTACTAGCCATCAAATATTTTAATATAAAAAACTTCAGGATATTATAAAAAGTAAAAAAAAAGATGTGGAAAAGAAGTCTTTTGAGGTAATAATACAAAATCTGAAGAGAGTAGGAGTCTTTACTTTGGGGAGTAAAAGGTTAAGACATTATCGATGTGTCAAATGCAGATTGTCATTATAATAGGAAAGACAGTCCACCTCCACTTTTAGCTCTGTGCATGCTCAATAATGTTTAAATATGCACGCTAGAGCTCAGAAGTTGGTGTTAGCAAAAATCAATTATATTCACTTTCTATATCTGAAAAATCATGAAACTTTCTGGAAAAAAAGTCCAGCTTATAGGGCTTCATAGATATTGGTTTTATTGTTTTAGTTTTGGGGGAAGACAAGGAATGTTATTTCATTCACAAAAATATCTCCCTCTTTGTTTTTATGTAATATATATATACACACACACATATATACACACATACATTCATATCTATGTGTGTATATACAAACATATAATATTTATATGTATGTATATAGTCATATGAAGTTATTTAATTTTGTGCTATAAACAGGAAGAAAAAGTTGATTTTGTTAATTATATTTGCTTTAATTATTTAATTAGTGTTCATTATTTTATGACTTAAAAAGTTCAGTGCAACATAAAATAATGAATGACTTATGTGTAATGTGGAAGCTTCTGAATAACAAGAGCTTGAGTAATAGCCAGCAATATTTTTCACTGGAAGATAAGAGGACCTACTTTTAAGTTAATTCACCATGATCAACCATGATCAACTGTGGTTTACTCCTGGGATTCAAGGTCAGTTCAACGTGCACAAATCAATAAATGCAATTCACCACATGAACAGAATTAAAAAAATATGATCATCTCAAGAGATGCAGAGAAAGCTTTCCATAAAATGCAACATCCCTTCATAATAAAAATCCTCAACAAACTAGGCATTGAAGGAATATACCTCAAAATAATAAGAGCCATCTATGACAAACCCACAGCCAACATCCTACTGAACAAACAAAAGCTGGAAGCATTTCCATTAAGAGCTGGAACAAGATAAAGATGTGTACTCTCACCACTCCTGTTCAACATGGTACTGGTAGCCAAGCCAGAGCAATAAAGCAAGAGAAATAAATGAAAGGCATCTTAATAGGAAAAGAGGAAGTCAAATTATCTCTCTTCACTGATGATATGACTCTATACCTAGGAAACCCTATAGACTACACCAAAAGGCTCCTGTAGTGACAAATGACTTCAGTAGAGTTTCAGGAAATAAAATCTGTATCCTGATATCAGGATACAAATCAATGTACAAAAATCAGTAGCATTTCTATACACCAATAAAGTTCAAGCTGAGAGCCAAACCAAGAACACAATCTCATTTACAATAGCCATACACACAAAAATACGTAGCAATACATTTAATGAAGGAGGCAAAAGATCTCTATGAGGACAACTATAAAACACTGTAAATCAAAGATGATACAATCAAATGGGAAAACATCCCATGCTCATGGATTGAAAGAATCAATATCATTAAAATGTCCATACTTCCTAAAGCAATCTACAGATTCAACGCTATTGCTATCAGATTACCAATGCCATTTTCACAGAATTAGAAAAACTATTCAAAAATGCATATGGAACCAGAAAGGAGCTCAGATAACCAAGGCAATCCTAAGTCAGAAAGAACAAAGCCAGAGGCATCACATTACCCAACTTTAAACTATATTGCAAGGTTACAGTAATCAAAACAACATGATGCTTGTACAAAAATAGACATATAGGCCAGTGGAACAGAATAGAGAATCCAGAAATAAAGCAGCACACCTACTACCAACTGATCTTTGATAAAGTCAACAAAAATAAACAGTACGGAAAGGACTGTCTATTCAATGAATAGTGCTGGGAAAACTGACTAATCATATGCAGGAGAATGAAACTCGATCCCTACCTATCACCATATACAAAAATTAATTCAAGATGAATCAAAGACGTAAATGTAAAGACCTCAGACTATAAAAATCATAGAAGAAAACCTAGGAAATAATCTTCTGGACATTAGTCTTAGCAAAGAATTTATGACCAAATCCTCAAAAACAATTGCAACAAAAACAAAAATTGACAAGTGGGACCTAATTACATTAAAGAGCTTCTGTACAGCAAAATAAACTATCAACAGAATAAACAGACAACCTACAGAAATGGGAAAAAGTATTTATAAACTGTACATCTGACAAAAGACTAATATCCAGAATCTGTAAAGGACTTAAGCAAATCAACAAGAAAAAAACCAAACAACCCCATTAAAAAGTGAGCAAAAGACATGAATAGACACTTTTCCAAAAAGAGAACTAAAGATAGAACTATCATTTGACCCAGCAATCCCATTACTGGGTATATACCCAAAGGAAAATAAATCATTCTACCAAAAAAAACCACATGCACTTGCATGTTCATTGCACCCCTATTCACAATAGCAAAGTCAAGGAATCAACTTAGATGCCCGTTTATGGTGGACTGGATAAAGAAAATGTGGTACACATACTGAGATACCATGTCACACTAGTTAGAATGGCAATCATAAAAAAGTTAGGAAACAGATGCTGGAGAGGATGTGGAGAAATAGGAATGCTTTTACACTGTTGGTGGGAGTGGGAATTAGTTTAACCATTGTGGAAGACAGTGTGGCGATTACTCAAGGATCTACAACTGGAAATACCATTTGACCCAGCAATCACATTACTGGGTATACACCCAAAGGATTATAAATCATTCTACTATAAAAACACATGCACTCTCATGTTTATTGCAACAGTATTTACAATAGCAAAGACTTGGAACCGACCCAAATGCCCATCAATGATAAACTGGATAAAGAAAATGTGGCACATATACACCATGGAATACTATGCAGGCATAAAAAAGGATGAGTTCATGTCCTTTGCAGGGACATGGATGAAGCTGGAAACCATCATTCTTAGCAAACTAACACAAGAACAGAAAACCAAACACCACATGTTCTCACTCATAAGTGGGAGTTGAACAATGAGAATACATGGACACAGGGAGGAAAACATCACACACCAGGGCCTGTCAGGGGGTGGGGGGTCAAGGGGAAGGAGAGCATTAGGACAAATACCTAATGCATGCAGGGCTTAAAACCTAGATGACGGGTTGATAGGTGCAGTAAACTACCATGGCACATGTATACCTATGTAACAAACCTGCACATTCTGCACATGTATCCCAGAACTTAAAGTTAAAAAAAAAAAAAGAAGAAAATGTGGTACATATGCAGCATGGAATACTATGCAGCCCATACAAACAGTGAAATCATGTCTTTTGCAGCAACTTGGACGCTGCTAGAGGCCACCATCCTAAGCAAATTAATGCAGGAACAGAAAAGCAAAGAACGCATGTTTTCACTTATGAGTGGAAACTAAATCTTGGGTATATACAGATGTAAAGATGGGAACAATAGACACTGAACATTCCAAAAGGAGAGAAGGAGAAGGCCAAGGGCTTTCTATTGGATACTGCATTCACTATCTGGGTGATGAGATGAAAAGAAGCTCAAATCTCATGCAATATACCCTTGTAACAAATTTGTATATATACCCCATGAATCCAAAATAAAAATGGATATGTTTAAAAAGGAAAAACAAAGAGTGATCTGTTTTTCATTTATAATAATACATTAAAATTTTTGTTATTGTACATTTATAGCATACACAAAATAAAATAATAGTCTAATTAATCCATTTGTCCCCATCACAAATTGTCTTCAATAATTGTCCAGTTTTTACTAATATTGTTTCATTTATCATCCTCTTCTACATTTTTATTTATGCTAGGATCTTTTAAGGAAAATGCCATATGTCATGTTATTTCACTTTAAGTACTTCACTATATATTGCTAACAGATGAGATTTTTTTTAAGTGTAGCCGCAGTATCACATTACCACATCTAAGAAAATAACTTTATCATCATCTAATACCTAGTCTGTGCTCAAATTTCTTCAATTGTTTAACAAATATCTTTTAAAAATAGTTGATTTGTTCAAAAAGAGCTCCAAACAAGGCCAAAGCAAGTATGCTTTATTGGGTTGATATTTATTTTAAACTTCTTTTAATCTATAACAGACTCTCCTTTAAAAAATGTTATTTATTTGGAAGGAATAAGGCAATTTGTTCTGTGAAATAACTTATTTATATCTAGCTAATTATTTCCTTGTCATGGTAAAATAACTTTTTTTAAATCTACTGTTTTCCACAAATGGGAGTAAAATGTAGTTGTTTGATTATATTTGAAATATAACTCATTTTAGGATTTGTTAAGGAATCTTAAAATAACTCAGTTTAAGATTTGTTAAGAAATGCTTGCAAAGACAATTGCCAGTATGTTATAGAATTATTTAGTGCCTCAGGTGAGTGAATCCATAATTTTTACATTCAATAAAAATGAAGTATGTTTTACACATAGTAAAATGGACACATGTCAAATACTCAATTCTATGAGTTTTGACAGTTCTATGCAGTAGTCCCCCTTATCTACAACGGATACTTCCAAAACCCCTAGTAGATTTTGAAACCAAGGATAATGCCATACCTTGTGTACTATGTTTTCAATTATACATACATACTAATGATAAAGCTTAATTTACAAATTAGGCACAGTAAGAGACAACTATAATGAATAATAACATAGACCAATTATAACTATGTGCCAGCATCACTACTCTTCCACTTTGGGGCCATTAATAAGCAAAAAAAAAAAAAAAAAAAAAAAAAAAAAAAGTTACTGGTTACTGAAACAGAAGCATGGTAATAACACGAGTTTATATGGTAACCAAGATGGCTACTAAGAGATTAATGAACATATGGGTAGCTTCTACAGAGTGGATATGCTAGACAAAGGGCAGATTCACGTGCCAGGCTAAATAGAATGGGGTGGCGCAAGATTTCATCACACTACTCAGAACAATGTGGGATTCAAAATTTATGAATTATTTATTTCTAGAATTTTCCACTTAATATTTTCAGACTGCAGTTGACTTCAGGCAACTGAAACTGCAGAAAACCCAAATTTGGATAAGGGGGCCCCTATTCTCTCATTTACTCACTACCCAAAACAAGATATAGAACATTCCCACCACACTAGCAAATTCCTTTATGCTCCATCCCAGTCAATCCTCTCTTCCAGAGGCAACCACTTTCGGATTTCATTCACATAGGTGAGTTTTACCTGTTTGTCAGTTTATATAGACGGCTTCTTTTTCTTAACATATTGTTGTATGAATCAGTAATTATAACCTTTTTACTGCTGAGTAGCATTGCATTGTATGACTATGCTTCAATTTGTTTATCGATTTTGTTGATAAAGATCTAGGTTGTTTACAGGTTTTGGCTACTATGAAAATAGCTTCTCTAAACATTCTTTCTGTTGGCTTATATTTTCATTCTTGGATAAAAACCAAGGTGTGTGCTTGGCTAAAGATATCTTCCTGGAATCTAAGAAATGTTTGGCTCTTCTAAGGTTGCAAAGCTACTTTCCTCTGCTTTCTTCTGGAAGGCTTATGTTTCTAGCTTTTATGTTTGGGTCTATAATACATTCTGAATTGATTTTTGGGTATGGCATCAGATAGGAGTCAAAGGTCTTTTTTTTTCTTCTTCACACGATTGTCTAGGATTTCCAGCATATTTTGTTAAAAAGACTTTGATTTCCTCAAAGAATATTGTGTCTGTTGAAAATCAATGCATATTTACATGTATGTCTATTAACCTGTCCTTATTCCAGTGAAAACTGTCTTGATTACTTTAGCTTTTGAGTAATACTTGAGTTCAGATGGCGAAAATTCTTTTAAATTCATTTTTCTTTTCAAGGTGTTTTGGATCTCATTTACATTTCCATGTAAATTTCAGAATCACTTTGTTAATTTATTCAAAAAATATTGCTGGTACTTTGTTATTTTTGCGAGAACCATAGATCAATTTGGGGAGAATGAATATTTAGCAATATAAAGTCTTCAAATCAAGAACATGATCTCTCTCTCCATTTATTTAGATCTTTTAAAAGTTTCTTAGTGATGTTTTATGTTTTTCAAAATGGACATGATATACATCTTTTGGTAGATTATTTCTAGATATTTGATTTTTAGGGATGCCTTTATAAATGATATTTTTATAAATTTAATTTTTTGGACTAATATAAAGAAATAAAACTGATTTTTGTATCTTAATCATATAGCTAACAAATGAGTTTAATTTGCGCATTAGTTATAGTAGCTTTGCCTCCCCCCTCCACTGTCACCCATGTATTTCTTAGGGTTTTCTATATAACTATCATATAATCTGGGAATAAGAACAGTTTTCTTTTTATTACCTTTCTAATCTGTATGCCTTTTGTTATATTTTCCTGCCTTATTACACTGACTAGAATTTTGATGAACTACAAGGTTAAGACAGTATGTGAGAACAGACAATCTTGTACCATTAGGGAGAAAGTAATCAGTGTTTTGCCTTTAAGTTTGATGTTAACCTTAAGTTTTTAATGATGCCCTTTATCAAATTGAGAAAAATCTATTTTATTTCTAGTTTACTAAGAACTTTATCATAAATATGCATTGAATTTTGTTAAATACTTTTTTGCATTTATTATCATTTGATTTTCATCTTTATTCTGTTAATGTGATGAAATACATTAATTTTAGACTGTGAAATCAACTTTGCATTCCTGATATACATGCCATTGATTATGGTACATATCATCTGTTTCATATATTGTTGGGTTTGGTTTAATAATATTTTGTTGAGGATTTTTGTATACAATCATGAATGATTTTTATCTGTAATTTTATCCTCTCCCCCTTTTTTGATTTTGTTTTATAATTTTTTACTGAATTTGTAATTAAGGTTATTGTGGTTCCATACCAGTCAGGAAATATTTTTTCTTCTCTATTTTGTAAAAAAGTTTTTATAAGCTTGGTATTATTTCCTCCTAAATGTTTGGTAGAATTCTTCATTTAAACCATAAGGGCCTCAGTTTTTTTCTGGGGCAGTGAATTTTATTTCAAATTATTTACTCTATTAGATATAGGGCTATTCAGTTTTTCTATTTCTTTCTTTGTCAGCTTTGGTAACATGTATTTCTCAAAGAATTTCCATTTCATTTAGATTGTTGACGAGATTGACATAAAATTGTTTAAAAACCTTCTTATTTTAATAGCTATAGCCCCTATAGTGCCATTCTCTCTTTCATTCTGAACAATGACAATTGGGTTTATTCTCTCTTGTTGTTGTTTTTTTTTTTTGGCCAGCCTTAATAGGAGCTAACATTTAAGTTGTTGTTTAGTTTCTGTATTTTTTGTTTTCTATGTCATTACTTTATTTTTGTTTTATTTCTTATAGATTTAGGAAGTACAAGTGCAGTTTTGTCACTTAGATAGATCACACAATGGGGGAGCCTGGGCTTTTAGTATACCATCATCACCTGAAGAGTGTACACCGTACCCATTAAGTAATTTCTTATCCCTCACACCTCTCCCACCCTCTCCACCCTTTCAAATCTCCAATGCCTATTATTCCACACTCTATGTCTATGTGTACACATCACTTCACTCCCACTTATATGTGAGAACATGTGGTATTGACTTTCTGTTTTTGAGTTATTTTATATAAGATGATGGTCTCCAGTTCCATGCATGTTGCTACAAAAGACATGACTTCATTCTTTTTTTTTTAAATAACTGAGCGGTATTTGATTTATATATATACCACATTATATATATTATGTATATACCACTGTATACACACACACACACACACACACACACACACACACACACACACACACCATATTTTATTTATCCTGTTATCTGTTGATAGACACTTAGGTTATTTCCATATCTTTGCTATCGTGAAGAGTGCTTCTATAAACATATGAGTGCAGCTATCTTTTTTGATATAATAATTATTTGTCATTTATTTTAAACATTTCTTCTCTAATCAGGAATTCAAATATAAGTTTCTCCCAAGCACTGCTTTAGCTGTATCTCACAAATTTTTGTATTTTGTATTCTCTTTTTGAAATGGAGTCTCGCTCTGTCACCCAGGCTGGAGTGCAGTGGTGCGATCTTGGCTCACTGCAAACTCCACTTCCCGGGTTCAAGTGATTCTACTCCCTCAGCCTCCTGAGCAGCTTGAACTACAGGTGCCTGCCAACACGCCCAGCTGATTTTTGTAGTTTTAGTAGAGACGGGGGTTTCACCATGTTGGCCAGGCTTGTCTCAAACTCCTGACCTAGGTGATCTGCCTGCCTTTGCCTCCCAAAGTGCTAGGATGAGAGGTGTGAGCCACCATGCCCAGCGTATTTTGTATTTTCATCATTATTCAGTTTATACTATTTTTAAAATTTTCATTGTGTTCTTTTTTTAATCACATGGGTTTTTAAGATGTGTATGGCTTAATATCTTCCAAAAGTTTGAGGCTTTATGCATAGCTTACTGGTTTCTAATTTTATACTCTTGTGGTAAGAGAAATATTCTGTACAATTTCATTCTTGACAGTTTTTCAGACCTCTTTTATGACCCAACATATAATCTATTGTAGTTAAGATTTTCATGTGAATTTCAAATGGATTTATAATCTGGAGTTGTGTAGTGGAATGTTCTATAAATATTAATTTGTTCAGTTTGGTTGATAATGTTATTCAGAGTTCTTATATTCTTACCGATTCTTTTTTATTGTATTGGTCTATCAATTACTGACAGGGGTGTTGAAGTCTCCAACGATTATTATGGACTTGTCTATTTCTTCATTTAGTTTCATCAGTTTTTGGCTCATGTATTTTTTTAAACTCACATATTTAGTTTTGCCAAGAACATGTAAAATCTACCATTTTAGCAGTTCTCAAGTACACAATACATTATTATTAACTATAGTCAACATTTTGTACTATAGATTTCTTAAATTCCTGTCTAATTTATACGTTATACCTTTGAACAGCATCTCCCTAACTACCCTCCCATTCCCACCCCTAGTAACTACCATTCTACGCTCTGCTTCTATGAGTTTGGCTCTTTTAGATTCCACACATAAGTGAGATTATATCTTATTTGTCTTTCTGTGCCTAGCTTATTTCAATTAATGTAATGTCCTCTAGTTTCATCTATGTTGTCAAAAATGACAGAATTTCCTCATTTCTTAAGGTTGAATGGTCTTCCACTTTGTATATACACTACATTTGCTTTATCCAGTCATCCATTGATGGAATTTTAGTTTGATGTATTTTGAAGCCCTGTTATTAAGTGCATATATATTTGGAATTCTTATTGCTTTTTACTGAATTGTCTCTTTTATTTTGAAAACAGTCCTCTGTATCTTTTCTTGTCAACATCTGTTTTGTCTGACAGCCACAATAGCTTTTCCACTCTTTTCTTTCAACCTGTATCTGTTGTCTATATAGTGTGCAGTGTCTTTATCTGCACAGTATAATTATAGTGTATTTTTAAAAGACAACATATAGTGGAATCTTGCTCTTTAATCCAGTCTGAAACCTCTACCTTTTCATAAAATACATTTATAGCTAGTGTAATTCTTTATATAGTTGAGTTTAATTCTATCATCTTGGTACTTATTTTCAATTTACACTATCTGATCTACCTCTGTTCCTCTTTTTCTACCTTTGGGTTAATCAAATTTTTTTTGGAATTCCATTTTGTTTTCTTAGTTGTTGACTATTTTTATTACTTTTTAGTGTGTGCTCTAGAGAGTATAATATTTATCTTTAATTTATTACAGTCTACCTCCAACTACTACTCTGTGAACGATTTAAAAATCTTACAACAGCATATATTTATCCTTCCTCTTGTCCTTTGTGCTTTCGTTACATATGTAACTTTTTTATGTCTTATTACCCCAAATATGTTGTTGTAATTTTTCTTTAAATTGTCAAGTCTTAATTGTGTTAAATATATACGTATAGAAATGTGACTTATGTACTATATATTATATATAAAAGTTACATATTTATGTATTAAAAAGGGTTTTTTTTTGGCAAGGATATGGAGAAAAGGCAAAGTTTAAACACTGTTGGTGGGAATGTAAACCTGTTCAGTCCCTGTGGAAAGCGGTATGGAGATTTCTCAGAGAACTATCATTCCATCCAGCAATCCCACTACTGTATATTTACCCAAAGGAAAAAAAAATCATTCCACCAAAAATACACTTGCACCTACATGTTTATTGCTACACTATTCAAAATAGCAAAGTCATGAACTCAACCTAGGTGCCGATCAACTGTGGAATAGATAAAAGAAAAAAAATGGTGCCTATATAACATCGAATACTATGCAGCCAAGAAAAGATAAAATCATGTCCTTTGCAATATCATGGAGGTAGCTGGAGGCCATTATCCTAAATGAATTAATGCACAGAGAGAAAACCAAGTATCACATGTTTTCACTTGTAAGTGGGAGCTAAACAATGGGTACACACAGACATAAAGATGGAAAAAATAGACACCAGGGACTCCAAAAGTGGGGATGGAGGGAAGGGTGGAAGGGGTGAAAATCTATCCATTGGGTACTGTGTTCACTATTTGGGTGATAGGTTCAATGGAATCCCAAATCCCAGCATTATGCAATATAGTCATGCCTGCACATATATCCCCTGAATCTAAAATAAAAGAAATTAAAAAATTTAAAAATATTTTAAATATTTACCTAGATAGTGGATAAATATTAATTTTTAATTTCTTTTCTGGTGGTCTTTATTTTTTTCATACAGATTCGGGCTTATAAGTTGTATCATTTTCTATCATACTGAAAAATTTCTATTAGAACATCTAATGGAACAGAGTTTTGAGAAGTATCCTCTCTACTTTGTCTGGAAAGTTTTTATTTTGTTTTTATTTTTGAGGTATATATTTGCTATCTACAACATTCTATTTTTTGCTTTCAGTACTTTACAGATATATTTCATTGTCTTTTGGTCTCCTTTTTTGAGGAGAAATCAGTAATTATTCTTACTATTCTTTTCTTTTGTATGTAATGTGTCTCTTTTTTCATCGCCATTCTTCAGATACTCTCTCTATCCTTTGTTTTTTAGTAGTTTGGCTATGTTTTGCCTATAGTAGCTTTCTTTGTATTTATCCTACATAAGACTTGCTAAGTTTTTTTTTTTTTTGACTCACAGGTTGATATATTTCATTAATTTTGAAAAATTCACAGCCATTATCTCTTCAAAATAATTCTTCTTCCTCATTCTTTTTCTGGAACTCTAACTATACATATATTATATGATTCGATGTCTTTAAATAGGTCTTGGATTTCCTGTTTAGTTTAAGATTTGTTTATTCCTTGTATTTTAGTTTGGATGATTTCTATTGTCCTGTTTTCCAGTTCACTGATCTTTTCCTCTGACGTGTCCAGTATACTCTTATGCCTATTGAATGAATTTTGCTCTTCTTATATTGCTCTAACATTTCTACTTGGTTCCTTTTTATAGTTTTATATTTCTTCTAAAACTTTCAATATCTTCCTGCATCAAGTTTTACTAGATTCTGTAACACATTTATCATAGTTATTTTAACATTTTTGTCAGCTAAATCCAGTGTCTGGGTCATCTGTCAGCCTGTTTCTGTTGATCGTCATTTCTCCTATGCATCACATTTTTCTACTTCTTCACATGTTGTATAATTTTTAATGTAAGGCAGTCATTTTGTCTCAAGAATAGTAGCTACCACCAGTCAATGGCATTCTCTTCCTCTATCAGGCTGCTAGGATGGGTGCTGAGTCAATCTAATCTGTAGTTGAGCTGAACATAAGCTTAGTGGTAGATTTAGTTAGATGCAGTTCACCACTGGAATACTTTGCAGTCAGGAGTAGCACTTTCCTTTCACCAAGTCCTGAGAAAGAAACACCATAATTTTCTCGAGATACTCCATGTTTTAAAACTCAACTCTCCAATTTTTGAGTTACTGGGAATTACTTTTGGTTTCCAGACCTGTCCTGTTTTTCTGAACCTGAGGAAATCTCTGTCTACCCTTCTGCCCTGCTTCCAGCCTTCAGTGGGATACTACTGTCTTGAAGTCAGTGAAAGGTACAGTTAATATCCTGTGCAATTCAGGAGGAATCTCTGTCCTACTCACCCACCCCTTCCCACCTCCTGCAGCCTTTGGTATCCTCTGTCTTCTGCTTTGGTTAAGGCCTTGTTGCTGGAGAGGAGATCTCTGTCAGTTCTCTTTTTTTGCCCCCACTCTTTAGCATATTGTTCCCATGAACTTAGTGATGGACTCATGGAAAAGAGTTGGTGGGTGGGTACAGATTCACTCTGTGAACCTGGGCTAAAGGAGCTGGGTTCCTTGAGATGGCAGTCTAACACACTAACCCACATTCACCTTTTGTTAAATGTGCTGGTTTCTTCTTACCTCCCTCAATGGAAGATGAGTTTCTCTTTCTACTTCTACTGTAGTTCCCCAGCAATAAAAGCAGCCATGTGATTTACTTTTTGGAAGGACTTGTCCCTTTTAAAATTTAATTTCCTTAGGTTTTAAAAAATCATTGGCTACTAAAAATACAAAATTAGCCAGGCGTGGTGGTGCATGCCTGTAATCCCAGCTACTCGAGAGGTTGAGTCAGGAGAATCACTTGAACCCAGGAGACGGAGGCTGCAGTGAGCCGAGGCCATTCCACTCCAGCCTGGACGACAAGAGTGAAAGTCTGTCTCCCAAAAAAAAAAAAAAAAAAAAAAAAAAAAAAAAAAAAAGAAGGTATAATTTGTACTTTTATCAGTTGTGTTTCAATTTTTAAGGTGGGGCTAATTGTGTTAGTTTTGTTGTTGCTGTAAAAAGTTACTGCAAATTTAGTGTCTTAAAACAACACACATTTATTATTTTATAATTCTGGAGGTAGGAAGTTTGAAATGAGTTTTATGGGGCTAAAATCAAGGTGTTAGCAGGAGTTGCATTTCTTTCTGAGGCTCTAGAAGAGAATCCATTCCCCTCCCTTTCCCAGCTTCTAAAGGCTTTCTGCATTCCTTGGCTTATGGTTCCTTTCTCCATTTTCAAAGACCACTATTCCAGTTCTGTCATCACATCTACTTCCTGACTTTGACCCGTTTCCCTTCCTTTCAGAAGAACCCTGTGATTACGTAGGGCCCACCTATATAACACAGGATAATATCTCCATTTCAAGAGCCTTAACTTTGGGCGCCTGTAATCCCAGCTACTCGGGCGGCTGAAGCAGAGAATTGCTTGAACCTGGGAGGCGGGGGTTGCAGTGAGCTGAGATCGTGCCACTGCACTCCAGCCTGGGAGACAGAGTGAGACTCCGTCTGAAAAAAAAAAAAATCCTTAACTTAATCACACGTGCAATGTGCTTTCGTCATTGTATAAGTCCGTTCTCATGCTGCTATAAAGAAATACCTGAGACTGGGTAATTTATAAAAAGAGGTTCAATTGACTTACTGTTCTGCATGATGGCTGGGGAGTCCTCAGGAAACTTGCAATCATGGCAGAAGACAAAGCAGAAGCAGGCACTTTCTTCACAAGGTGGCAGGAGAGAGAGTGAGTGCCAGCAAGGGAAATGCTAGATGCTTGCAAAACCATCAGATCTCGTGAGAACTCACTCACTATAACGAGTGCAATTGAAACATATGAAATGAATTGCAACTGATTAATTGAGAACAGCATGGGGGAAACCGCCCCCATGATCCAATCACTTCCCACCAGGTCACTCCCATGACATATGAGGACTATGGGGATTACAATTAAAAATGAGATTTGGGTGGGGCACAGCCAAACCATATTGGTCTTATAAGGTCACATAATTCACAAACTTCAGAGATTAGGAGATGGACATCTTTAGAGGGGAGTATTATTCAGCCTATGGTAATGGTCTACTGCAACTTCCTATTTCTTAACAGAAATTGGATGATCAGGACATTATTTTAAAAATATTTTGTGTATATCTTTCACAAAGAAAAATCTTTTATAGGTAATGCAATAAAACAAATACTTCATCATAGTTTACAGCTAAGCATTTCTCCTTTTCCATAGTAAATCAAAGGAGAAAACCTGATTTAGTAGAAAGAGCACAGGTCTTAGACACAAGACAGACTGCAGTACTAGGGCTTGGCTTTGCTGGTATTGCTGCTTACCTGTTTTGACCCTTTGTTGGTTCAAATGTGGATTGCTATCCTTTACTGTGCTGTGATTATTACATTCAATGCCATGGATAAAGTTCTGATTACTAATAACACAACAAATTACTCAACAAATGAATGTTCATTCACTTTTATTTTTTCTTTAATTTATTAAAAATTAGAAGAATGAGAATAGAAACTTAGAAGTGTAAAATGCATTAGCACCAATGTCAAAGTTGAAAATTTTCCTTTGGAATACTTTTAACTATTGTTTGTGAACTTCACCTTGTTGGAATAGGGATTTGGCTCATTGATAGGAAAACACATACAGGTTTGAAGAGCTGTATGCCATATGATTGCATATGATGCCACAGGGATGCCAATCATATGGCATAGAGCTCTGCATCCTCCCCTCAATGCAGTTCAGCCTCAGTATACAGACATGGTGGAAATATGTCTATGCTTCATTCTTCTGACCCTTACTTGTTTCCACAGCAATGGCCCCAGAAGAAATGTCCCTGAATATAATCTTGTGTCATTGTCATCAGACTAACTTGGCAATGAATGGTTGACAGAGCAATATCAGAACCGCATATACAAATCTTCCCTTTGTGGGCAGTTTTACTCCTAATGACTACCTACCCAGCACAATTAGTCACTTCAGTACCCTATATTTGAGAACTATTCACATGCAGTTTATAAATAGCTGGCATAGAAAAGTGCTTTTGGCTTAATAATGCCCTCTATTTTAGATGACACTAAGTACCCTGTTATTGCTAGGAAAATAAATAATAATATACTTTATATAAAATGCAAATTCCAGTCCATTATTATAGTTCATCCTATGGGATAGGGTTGAGACAACATAACACTTAAGTAAAAGTATGAGTGGTAATTATATCTTTTAACTTGTCTCATAATTAAAACAAAACCTTTATAAAAGAGAATTTTACAGTTAGTTTATAACATCTCTAGTATATTTTCGTTATGTCCATTTTTACATTCTGAATAAAAAATCTACATGAAAATATTGTGTAGCATCAATTTCCAAGCACAGCTGAAATTGACATGTTGCTTTTACTTCCTTCTTCCCTAAACAAAGTTCATGCATAGGAGCGAAGCACTTCCAGCCACTCATTTATCCTGATGGGCAGGCTGCAGAACATAGATATAGCAATCCGCTTGCTGATTCTTGTTACACATTGGGAGTTATGGAATAGGTCTCAGCAGGTAGAAAGCTGTGCACCCACGCACTACAGAATGCTGTGATTACAGCAGGTAGGTGGCTCGGGTAACAGGAAACTTCAGAGAGGTGGGAGTTTGGCATAATGTGATGTGTGATTTATTGGAGTTTGTGGGGACACACACTATAATTGTATGCTTGGTGTAACGTCTGATTGTTGTGTCTTTCATACCCTCTGGAAGCCAGCCCCCCATGTAAATGATAACCCACTGGAGCTTTTGTTGTGAGTGCAATTGAAACATATGAAATGAATAGCAACTGATTAATTGAAGCAGGCTACATTTTTGGAAAACAAATCAAAGTGATTTGCATGAATCACATTATTTGTTACATAATACACTTTGAGGACACAAATTACCTTTTTAAAGCCTAAGACACATATATACACAGTGGAACAAACAGAAATATAATAAACTGGGCTATAACCACATAATTCACGTTGAATACTGGATGCCAAAACTGATGTGAAACAAATGATTTTCCAATAAACGACTCAGGCAGAGCCATATCTGTTCTAAAATTTCAATTGAATATTATTTATAATACCAATAATTCTTCACGATTGTTAACCATGGGATGATGAAACAATTTGTATTACATATTAGTTTGGGGGGTTTGTGTATTCCCAAGTTGGGAACCGATTTGTAGTCATGTCCCAGATGTGGTAAATAAATAGTAAGTCTGAGAGAGGTACTTAGATGGAGGAAAACTTTCAGGGCTCAATCACTTTTGTCTTTTTCTAGTCTTGAATAAAAACTGAACTAGTAAAAATAGTGTTGTCAACTTTAAAGGCAAATATCATCATCATCATCATATCTTTCTCTGGGTTTAATGTCTATAACAGATTTTAAGAATAGTTTACTTTATTATTTTTCTTATACTTATTAACTGTATTATATATGCTACTAAAAACCAGTCTATGCAAACACTAAAACAACTGATTTCAACCTTTATTAATAACAACTTTTAGTATTTAATTATTTTTCTTAGGTGTATATTACATATATGTATGTGTATATGTGTGGTACATATATTGTCTCAGGTGTATATTACATAAACATGAGTGAATATTCTTAGAAAAAATATTCTTACAATATATTAAATACACAAAAGCATATTACAAAATGGGATTGTACCAAATATGTTGACTTGTAATTTTCTTTTTTACATAACAAAAGATATCAAATATTTTTCAATGTCAACAAATATCCATCTACATCATCATGGAATACCATTTATTTAATCAAGTACTTCTCATCCTAAATTTGCTTTCACTCTAATAAATAAGGTATCAATAAACATCCATATGCATAAATCTAAACACACTTGTTTTATAATTTTGTTGGAAGAAATTTCTGGAAGTGGAATTAGTGAATCAAAGTATATGCAGATTTTGAAAGCTTTGATTCATATTACGAAAATCACCTTTCAGTAAGCTTGTATCAGAAAGCAACCCCCCAATTTTCTTAAGTTTTATAACATCCAACTACAAATGTAAGTATCTTCTATAGTCTTTTCCTCCAATTCTTCTCTTCCTTCTTTCCCTTTTATTCCTCTCTTCCTTTAGACAAAGAGCAAAGCACCTTAAGTGCAAAAACTTTTCTCACTTAACAGAAATTTACTTAATCAAATGATGAATTTAAATAATTTCTAATCTGTGTATTAATCTACTCCAGGAAAGAGAAGCACTCATCTTTAGAATTTTAAGTTTCCATGCTTTTATTTCTGTCCCTGCCATCTTGTTCCTGTTAGTGAGCCCATTAAGGGCACTTTCTTAAGGAAAATCAATATATAGACTTTAAATGTTATTTCATTTCTTATAAAAGGAAATGAATATACTGTAAAGCTCCTAGACCCAGGTTTTGATTACTAAATGTCTAAAGAGGGTGCCAATCATTAGTAAGTTGAGAATGAAATGACCCATAGATTCTCTCTCTCTCTCTCTCTCTCTCTCAATTCACTAGTTCTTGTCAACTAGGGGTTCACCACCAGGAAAGCAGAATGTAACCCAACAGATATTGGCTTGAGCCTTCATTGAAGCTTTTAGTCTCTAATTTTTTTTGTATGTGTTTTACTCCTTCTTGAAAAGGATATGTTAAAATTTAAATACGTATGAAATTAAGAGATTTTGAAAGAAATACAGAATGTTTAGAAGAAGTAGAAAATGAACAAAAATAGTTGTCATAAGTGGAAAGTTAGAATTTGGAGAACTTTTCGCTAATTTAAAAATGTTAGAAAATCTCAGAATTTTTTTCCTTTAAAGTGTCTACAATTATATGAACTAGGAAAATTGCATTCTTGAGTTTCTGTTTTCTTCTTATTTGTTTAAATGATATGATATTCTAAGATAAGCACAGTTGCATTGATAGTTGTTTTATTTTTAGCATTAATGATTTTTAGTAAGATGAATATTTTCTCTTAAATGTGCATTTGAAGGTTTTTGTGCATGCAATTCTAATATATGACCATATTCATCACTAGCTTTTTTTTTTTTTTTTTTTTGCCAAATGTGTTTTCATCTTAATGATACAGACACACTGGGGAAATAAGTTTTTTTGTTTTTAATTAGAGTGGTCTAAGGCAAAATTGTGACCAAAGTGGGATTGATCTTAGGTGCCTTTTTAACTCTAATTTCCTCATTTGTCATTTAAAAATTATTGGATATATATAATATTCTAGTCATTGTGATAGGATAAACAAGATAATTTATCTGATCTTAAAAAGTTCTCAGCCAGGAGAAATGAGGGGAAACTTTCTTGGATTAAGGAGACTTCCAGGAAAGAACAACTTGTGCAAAGATTGGATGCAAGAAGAGCATGATACTTTTAAGGAACTGCAAGATTAAGTTGGAGTTCTTTCATTTCCTTCATTTAACCTACTGACTCCATGATATGGCTATGCAGGGATCCAAATCCACGTGACTTTCCCCTTAAGCAGCAGACTCAGATCAGGATCTTTCTGTTTTCTCCTCCCTTTTCATGAAAATTTTCTCCATGGTAGCTCTTGGTTGGAAGGAAACTAACATCTCTGTGTGAATATTCACCATTGACTTATAGGAGATTGCACATGTTATCTTTCTTGGGGCTAGCCATACACAAAATGAGGGGCAGTGTCTAATGGGCCTTTAATGGTAGAATTTCAGGCAACAGCAACCTTGTTCTGGAGGTATTTTGGGGCCTCTCAAATTGCCCCTCCTAAGCAGCATTTATTGTCGCCACAAGTAAGGCTAACTGTGCTTAAAAGAAATCCTGTTAATTTAAAGCTTTTATAAAAAACAAAAAATAAGTATATCCAGTTGTGAGTGATACCTATGCCAATATATAAGAATTTGCTGTAATGTTATTCACATATCTATTAGGAAAACAGGTTTTCTTCTCTGTCTGATTACCTTGCTAAGTACAGGTAACCACCACTGACTTTGGTGATTCTCCGGACAGTACATAGATACACTCACTCAGAGAATAATGGCTGCAGTGATTTAAAACTGAGCTTCCTGTCCCATGAATACATTGTGGGCTGGCTGGCATGTGTCTTTCTGCTAACACACCTGTGGATTAAGATGTTTCCTATTGTAGGTCATAGGGGCTGGCGCCTACAGAGCTCCTGGTTTTAGCTTAGGCTTGTTTTACACATTATTGGGGATTAAACTTGTTGGTGCCAGTTCTATCTTTCCCATTAGATATTCATTAATAAAACTCCAGATGCCCATTATTCATCACATCATAACATACTGGATGGCAGTTAATTCACCTAAAGTTTTCATATTTGATAACTTCCTTATTCATGTTAATTAGGTTACTTGGAATTTTCCATCAATCATGGCATCTCAGGCTTTGGCTCTTCTGAAAGAATTCATTTGTGAGACATATATTATACACTAGATGTACACAAGCAAAATTAAGTGTAGGATCCAATTTCAAGGATGACTCATGTCTGCTTTGACTGAAGTGGAGGGCACAATTTTGTTCCTTGGTAGATTCCGCCTCAAAAGAGAAAAATAAGGCTGAGAGCAATCACCTTTACCTCAGCTCACCTTACTCAAACCCCTGTGATTCATGGTGCTATGAGAAACAATTTATGTTCAAGGAGACTTTGAAAGGACACTTATTGCAGGGAGCAGCGTGAGGTGAAAGCATAAAATCAGAGGGTTTGGATAGTTGAGTTCAGATCTGGCACTTTGAGTAGTATTGAGATTTTGTACTTTTATTCCTCATCCGTACACCCTAACAGCTAGAACTAATGTTCTCTTTGGATCATCCCAGCTCTTTAATGTAGTCGAAGTCTGTTAGCAAGAATGCTTGAGGTTTGGGGAAGTGTCATGTTTATTCTCTCGGCCTTCCTGTAAATATTCCCCATTTCTATTCACCTATATTCTCCATTTTAAAGAAATGCATTGTTCTTTTATTCACAAGACTGTTTTCTCATTCTAACTTTAATCTAAAATGCATGCTCGGTTCTTCTCATTGTGACATAATTAAAGAAAATAGAGACTTGAAAAGAGTGAGAACATTGGTGGGGTGTACATTTTGCCTTTTGTCTACTGCTATCATTAGGAATGGTTACCACTTAGATACAGCATATTCCAGTGAAAGAGAAACTCAGCAGAGGACACAGGCTTAGGCTGCCTTTGTCCATGGTGCGGGGTGAGCACCTGAGCATGCTGTGGTTGGGCTATAACTATAGCTGTGTCTGCTCACTGGGCAGACTCAGCAGGCATCCTACTGGTTCCCGTTTCTTTGAGGTCAAGTAAATAAGTGATTCCTATAGCCCCAAATTTCTTCTTATGCCAACATGCTCCCAGGATACTAAGTAGGTCACAATAGGACCCAGATAATAATTCATTTCAGGTTTCCAGGTTGCTAAGAGCACCAGCGATTTTCCTGTGTGTGGCCTGTATTCTCTTCAATCTTGTTCAGCTATTTCACTTCTGAGGTCTTGCTCTCAGATCTGCATATATTTACATGTTTTAGTCTGTAAGCTTTTTAGCTACAAATTACTTAAAATAGAGGTCAGCCTCTGCCAATATAATTTTCTTTTTTTCCTTATTTGCTTACTCTAACAAATAAATAAAAACATGAATAAGAAGAAGAAAAAAATGAAGTCTTTGTATAGAAGTCCTTTAAGTATGGCAGTCAAGACAACTGTTGTTTTAATATTTCTACACAGAGGGCAGCATTGTATCTCAGCTTCTAACATGCTTTGCTCTAAGCTGATTTATCCCTACTGTGGATAGAAGGAAAATGGTACAACTCTAGGGTTAAATGACTTGTGATCTTTCCCAGTTAGGCTGGATTTCAAGACAGTATAAAGACTCAGAAAATTTTTCTGGACACTATTAAATCACTAACAGTGCAATCCGGGTTTCTGATATTCTCATCTTTGTTTTGTTAATAAAGTATGATCAGTAAAAATGAGTGGGTGCGGCCTTTCTACCTTCAAGGTCATTGTGACTCTTAACCATCAAATCATATTTTTATGGTGATATTTTTCTTCTGAACTTGCATTTTTTATATTTTCATCTATCTATTTAACTCTTATGTTACTATTTTAAAAATTACTTTCAATTTCAGTCTCCTTCCAGAGTTAGTACTATAAAACATCACTCGAACTTTTCAAATACTTTCAGTTTTGTTTCCTTTTTAATGTTTACAATCAAAACTTTGTGCATGGGTTTGGGAATTAAGAAGAAATACTACCAATTTATAAATTTAGTAAAATATCATGTGTTACACTTGTACTGCTAGCCCATATGGCACGTTCGTGGAAATTAGAAGAGGTCTCTCTTCCCTTAAGACATTTTCCTGCAGAACAATAGTCCTAATAAAGAAATCTGTGATGACTATGAATGGTTCTTCCTGGAGCTGGCCAGCACATAACCTGTACCACCATGTACAGGATTCTTTTTTTTTTTTTTTTTTTTTTTTTATTGGAGTCCTTAACTTTTAAAAAACAATCTTTAACTAAGCATTGTTGTCCTAATTGTAACTGTACAGTTTCATCAAAGGAATGCCATCTTCATAGATTTACTAGGACTACTGAAACTTGAAATGCAGTTTGAAGTTTGATAGGAGATAGTGCTCCACCAATGACTGCAATGATCGCTAGCTAGGGTAAGAAAAATGAATCCCTCTCTTAGGCTGTAATGTAAAGCTGCTTTACTCACTGAAAAACAGCAGAGGCAAGAGGCCAATCTTTTCTGAAGAGATTGCCTCCAGAAAAACGGAACCCCCATGTTAAATAGAGAACTCTGTCATACAAATCATGCACTATAGTGCATGATTATTTGGCACATTATAATCTGCATTTGTGTAGTATTTAAAAATACATCTGATGATTAATAAATCATCCATGTGTTGCACACGTATGTTTATTGCGGCACTATTCACAATAGCAAAGCCTTGGAACCAACCCAAATGTCCATCAATGATAGGCTGGATTAAGAAAATGTGGCACATCCATAGAATACTATGCAGCCATAAAACAGGATGAGTTCATGTCCTTTGTAGGGACATGGATGAAGCTGGAAACCATCATTCTCAGGAAACTTTCGCAAAGACAGAAAACCAAACACCACATGTTCTCACTCATAGGTGGGAATTGAACAATAAGAACACCTGGACACAGGAAGGGGAACATTACACACTGGGGCCTATCGTGGGATGGGGGGAGGGGGGAGGGATAGCATTAGGAGATATACCTAATATAAATGACGAGTTAATGGGTACAGCACACCAACATGGCACATGTATACGTATGTAACAAACCTGCACGTTGTGCACATGTACCCTAGAACTTAAAGTATAATAAAAATAAAAAGTAAAAAAAAACATCCATATGTAATGACATATGGATATCAGAAAAAGGTTCTCTGAATAGTACTTACATCTGCAGGGTAGAATATTAATATGTTTCCAAGGCTTGATTCATATTCTATTTCCAAAATCTGAACAACAGTAGATCAAATGTTTACCTGTATTAATGGCTTAAGTTAATTATCCCATTAGTTCTCAGAAGACCATAATGGAAATCAAAGGTTATGATCTAGATGTAATGCCTTTCTAGTTATATCCTATTATATATTAATGCTTTCGTTAGGGCTTTCTGGACAAAGTATAAAAAAGTCTCCCCATTGTTTACACTAGAGGATAAAGTCCGAATGCTTTAGCAAGGCACACAAAACTTCCCTGGCCAGGTTTACCATCTAGGCCTTTGTTAGTGTAAGCAGTTGTGTGAGAGGCCTGGGTTGTCTTCTGAGCAGGGAACTTCAGAATCTGGCTCATGCTATGAGTAGAAGAATGAAGGGGAGATAATGCTTGTGTCCTCCATAAAGGTGTGCTCAAGGATTTGAACTGAATTGGAAGAGGACATTCTACCATTAAGATGAGGTAGAACAGGAGAATGGGTTCTGAAGGCAGCACTTGCAGAAATTTCTGACGACTAAACATAGTCTGTGGGCAGAGTGTATTTAAAATTTTGGACACTTCCCTCTTCAACTCTTTCTCTCATAACTCCCACCTTCACTGTATTTCAGCTGTAACAATTGGTATTTTTCCCTTTGCCTTGAAAAATCTTTCCATCATCTTCCACCTTATAAACATACTTTTTAAGAACCAAGTCAAACTTTACTTCTATGAACTATTCCTTTCTGCTAAACCTTATACAAACTTTGATCGTGGCATGTATCCTAAGACACTATAAGTATTTATTTGCAGTTGGCCTCCTCTTATAAACTGTTAGCTCATTGAGGGCAGGACGGATTCTTCTTTAATCGGTGTATCCCTGTGGATGGAACCCACACTCAGTAAACTTTGTGGAATAAATAAATGAATAAATAAAACTTCTCATTATTGATATCTATACTCTGTTCTTATGCCAAAAAGCAGTCCCAATTTTATCATTGAGCCACAAGTATTTATGGGAACCTTCAAGGTACCAAAGACTCATGCTTGCAGGTATTTTGGCAGATGCAATAGCTTACATATGAGACACAGACTTCATCATGGATAAATTTGCAGCTTAATTTGGGAAACAAGATATATGTTTATGAAATCAGTAGGAAACATAGAAGATAGTGCTGATTTGTTTGGTAGAAACCGAGTTAGTAGTGAGTAAAAACAACAAGTGACCAGTACGTGGTTTGAAATAACTCCTTCTAGGAACTCCCTTACTATTAAAGCCTTGTGCTGGAGTAGATAAAAAAATAAAAGATCATAAGTGTGAAAAAAGAACCTCTTCATATTAATACTGGAATGAGTTTGAGTACTTAACAAGAGACAGTCGAAGTCCCTTACAACCCTGAGGTTTCTCATAACTATGATACAATAACCACATTGGGATAGATGATAAATGTCACTCCAGGAAAAGGAAGAATATGATAATATCTCAGAATATGTCTCTGTCATCAGCACCTGGGTCTCCTGGAGAACAAGCTAGTGGACAGTTGCACCAGTTTCTAATTTCCTCTCCTTTCATTTTGCTTGAGACAATGGTGTTTAGTGTCCAAAATAGCCTTGGGAATAATTTTGTTCTTTCTCTTCCCAATTGGATTGTGTACACATTGCACTAGTTCTTACCGTTGAGGTGAAATTGCTAATCAGAAATCCCACAACCTGTGGTAGGCCATTGCTAATCAGCATCACTCGTGTGGAGTGCTTGAGTCATTATTTGAAGCTGATTCAAAATCATATGATAATAAATTTCCATTTCTATAACCACCCATATATTTTCTAGTGTCACCAAATAGTTCTTTTTTTTCACAGTTTGTGGGGGATAATTACTTTCCTACGATGCTAGCCTATGAAAGGAAAAAAAAAAAGAGAATGTTATTGCCATCATAGTGCTGGGATCCCTATCATTTTATTTTTTGATTCCTACTTCACAGAAATAAGGACTGACAGAGGAGTGCATGACTAAAGAGCACTTTCTGAGTCAAGCATTTTAGTTCAGCACCCTGTGGCATCACTCACATCCAAGCCATGTGCTGAAATGGTGTGTGTACTTACAGTTCTGCCTAAATGTGGTAATTAAAGGGGGGAAGAGCCATTTGTTTCTTTCCTTTGATTTTTCAAGTTGAATTTATTTTTGTGTGGGTAGAAAAAAGAGAACATATATTAGCAGAATTATTTTTTTTTCCATTTGTACTCTCATTTAGCTCAGCCATTTACTTCATTTTCAGATTATCTGTATAAATAAAGCCATTAAGGAAACATGCCTGGAGCAAGTAGAGACCATACAGACTCATACAGAGATGGAAATGCAGATGAGAGATTTTGTTAGCTAATCAGCTATCAACTGTTTTGACAAAGAAATGTATGGTTTTATTAAAATACCTGTATATATTTCCTTGTATACACTCTGACTCTTATTGCTGGATATTTCTGTAGAATGTGACATTCTTTCAAACCTCTCTTCAGCCAGTAAGTATTGCTGACAACAATCTAGGCTCTGGCACTGTTTGCGGTCACCCCTGGCTGCTAAGGGGAGCAATCTAGACCCTAGCACACTGCAGTTAAATTAAATTATCATAGAGATACAACATACACTGCTACATCATTCTAGCCATGAACACAGGATTGAAAAAAGATTGATAGACTACAGGAATGGATCAACAAATAACTATGTGGGTGGTGCTGTTAGATATTTACTTCTGCAAATATTGATGTACATAAATGGAATGTTGCTTAAAGTTTGTATTTTCCCTAAAAGGAAAGGGTTGTTTCTACCCATAACTATCAGATATCAAGTATTAATGACAATGTGTTCATGTCTCCCACACATGGGCCCATGGGATATCTGGGGTAAAACTTGCTTTCATGTAGCTAACCTGAAATAATCATAGGATGAGTTCACAGGCTCTGTGTGTTTAAGACTATTTGTTATTCTTGGAAAATGTTGCAGAAATGACCCATTGGAAGATGATCAAAAAACATGCGTCTTTTGCTCAGCCCTGGAATATGGACCGGCATCTTTGAAAAATAAAAAGAGATGTAGTCGTAAAATACATAGGGGTGTGTCTATAATTATAGCCACCATTTAGTGTAATACATTACAAGAAGCAATTGCATGATGACACTGATATTTTTGTGTTTGTGGATGAAATATATAAATATTTTAGTTTTGAAAATCAAATGAACATGTGTTTTATTTTTTATTTTACTTTGTTCCAGGATACATGTGCAGAACGTGCAGGTTTCTTACATAGGTATACATGTGCCACGATGGTTTGCTGCACCTATCAACCCATCATCTAGGTTTTAAGCCCCACATGCATGAGGTATTTGTCCTAATGCTCTCCCTCCTGTTGCCCCACACCCCTTGACAGGCCCTGGTGTGTGATGTTTCCCTCCCTGTGTCCATATTGAACATGTGTTTTAATAAAAGAAAAGAAGTCGCTTAGTATTTCAACATTTAACTCTTCATGTTCATATTGAACTTCTATGCACGAGTCTGAACAGCAAAGAAGTATATAAGACACAGTCATTTCTTTCTTATTTCTTTTTTTGAGATAGAGTTTCACTCTTGTTGCCCAGGCTGGATTGCAATGGCACGATCTTGGTTCATTGCAACCTCCACCTCCCGGCTTCAAGCGATTCTCCCACCTCAGCCTCCCAAGTGGTTGGGATTATAGGCATTTGCCACCATGTCCGGCTAATTTTTTGTATTTTTAGTAGAGACAGGGTTGGCCAGGCTGGTCTTGAACTCCTGACCTCAGGTGATCCACCTGCCTCAGCCTCTCAAAGTGCTGTGATTACAGGCGTGAGCCACTGCACCTGGCTTCACAGTCATTTCTTTTAAGAAGATCTAGAGGGTGAGACCAACAAGTGATATAACTACAGATATATATAAAATGGAAAATTTTAGCCACATAAATCTTTGAAGTACACGAACATTTATTGTTTTGTTCATAGCTGGGATAACTACAAAGTCCTCAGCTGATCTGGGCATTTTGAGTTCCAGTAGGATACAACATACCTACAGTTTTAATTGGTTTTCAAGAAATTCATCCAGATTGTAAAATATGATAGGTAATAATAATCATAAAACTGGACAGAAAAAAGTTCTTAAGGGCTCAGATTAAATGAGTTAAATCACACCATCCTGAAATAGGTATGTGTCATGCAGAGGCAGTAAAATAAAAGAAGTGTGTATGTGAAGAGAATAAAGTGAGACACAAATATATTTTTATTGTGTATTAGTCTAATAGTAGAAGTGTTTCTCTGTCTTTTCTGTTTAAAAAATAGATGGTAGGACCTCATATAGTGATAAATTATGAAATAGCGTGTATTCCTCTCTCATCCCTATTTACATTGGCATGTAAATTTTTTGCTATGACTAAATAAATCAAACACTAACAGCAGGTGTATGTCAATGTAGCTCTGAAAAAATGGTGCTGGTGCTTATGGCTAATAAAAATAGCTGTAATTAATATTACATCATGAAGGTATGGCATTGTCATGCTCAGGAATATTGGTTATTATCAGCTTTCATAGTTGGAAGAGAAAATCTTTTCAAATGGATGAATTGATGGAAACAGAGAAGATTCAAGTGCCCACATTACTGGCGACCAACTAATTTACCTAGCATGATTAAACAAGAGAAGCCTTAGTAATTACCTAACTCAATTCCTTTATTTTACAGTCAGGAAAAAAATGTAGTTATTTTATTCATTCATTCAACAAATATTTATTGAGTGTCAACTATGTGCTACTCATGTTCTAGGTGTTGGGAAGAGGCCTAAGAACAAATGGACAAGGATCTTTCTTTATGGAGCTGGCATGGTTGATTTGGGAAGGCCTCTTTGAAAAGATGGCATTCAAGCTGATAGATTAATGACAAGAAGCAGTCAGCTGGCAAAGTTTGAGAGAAAAGCATCCTAGGCAGAGTTCCTATTAGTGAAAAGTTGTAAGGCAGGAATAAGCCATGAATGACTGAGAAACAGAAAGAAAAAATGTTTTCTGTGGCTTAAGCATACGGAACAGGGGATCATGAAAGTTGAGGCAAGAGAGACAGGCAGGGGGCAAACATGTTAGCTTTATAAGCCAGGGTAGGAAATTTTGGATTTTTCTCTGATAGGCAGCCATTGGAAGATTTTTAAGCAGGAGAGTGACACAATACACATATACAGTGAAACGATACAGCTACTGTGCAGAGAATGGATCTAAGAAGGCAAGAATGGATGAAGAGTAGCTGGGTAGCCACTGTGTTAGTTCAAAGCACAGATGGTTATCTGGACTATGAGGATAAAAGCAGAGATAGAATTGTTTGTGTATAAAATATGTTTTAGGGCAGAATTATCAAGGTTACATGAAAAATTGGATGTTGAGGGTGAACCAAATGTAGAAAATAAGAATCACTCCTAGGATTTTAGCTTGCATTGCTGGGGAGATAGTGCTGTTTTGGTTTTGTTTTTTTGTGTGTTTTAAAAATTGTTTTATTTTTATTTTTACTTTTTATTTTTCGAACTTTTATTTTAAGGGCAGGGGTACAAGTGCAGGTTTGTTACATAGGTAAACTTTTGTCATGGGGGTTTGATGTACATATTATTTCATCACTCAGGTATCAAGCCTAGTACCCATTAGTTATTTTTCTTGATCCTCTCCCTCCTCCCACTTTCCACCCTCCAAAAAGCCCCAGTGTGTGTTGTTCCCCTCTATGTGTCCATGTGTTCTCATCACTTAGCTCCCACTTATAAATAAGAACATGTCATATTTGTTTTTCTGTTCCTGTGTTAGTTTATTCATTATTCTTTGCTAAGAATAATGACCTCCAGTTCCATCCATGCCCCTGTAAAGTACATGATCTCCTTTTTTGTTGTTGTTGTTGCTGCATGGTATTCCATGGTGTATATGTACCACATTTTCTTTATCCAGTCTATCATTGATGAGCATTTAGGGTGATTTCATGTCTTTGCCACTGTGAATAGTGCTGCAATGAACATATGCATGCATATGTCTTTATAATAGAATGATTTATATTCCTTTGGGTATATACCCAGTAATGGCATTGCTGGGCCGAATGGTATTTCCATCTTTTGGCCTTTGACAATCGCCACACCTTTTTCCACAATGGTTGAACTAATTTACATTCCTACCAACAGTGTATAGGCATTTCTTTTTCACCACAATCTTGCTACTATCTGTTATATTCCGACTTTTTAATAAAGTTTCCTTTTGAATTGGGAGAGACCAAAGGAAGAGTAGGATTGGGGGAATCTCGTTTTTTGTTTTTGTTTTAGATATATGTTTCATACGGCTATGTGGAAATGTCACATAGACAGTCGATGTTAAGAGTCTGGCTTATGGATGATGATTAGAACCACGTGACTGAGCTGAACGAATTCAAAGCGGCTAAAGCATGGATAGATGGAGAAGAAATAAACCAACCAAAAAAAAAAAAAAGCCCAGGACCAAACGGATTCACAGCCGAGTTCTACCAGAGGTACAAAGAGGAGCTGGTAACATTCCTTCTAAAACTATTCTAAAAAATAGTAAAACAGGAATTCCTTCCTAACTCATTTTGTGAGGCCAGCATCATCCTGATACCAAAACATGGCAGAGACACAACAAAAAAAGAAAATTTCAGGCCAATATCCCTCATGAACTTCAGTGCAAAAATCCTCAATAAAATACTGGCAAACCGAATCAAGCTGCACATCAGAAAGCTTATCCACCATGATCAAATCAGCTTCATCCTTGGCACGCAAGGCTGGTTCAACATACACAAATCAATAAACATAATCCATCACATAAACAGAACCAATCACAAAAACCACATGATTTCTCAATAGAGGCAGAAAACGCCTTTGACAAAATTCGGCACCCCTTCATGCAAAAACTCTCAATAAACTAGGTATTGATGGGAAGTATCTCAAAATAATAAGAGCTATTTATGACAAACCCACAGCCAATATCATACTGAATGGAAAAAAGCTGGAAGCATTCCCCTTGAAAACCAGCACAAGGATGCCCTCTCTTACCACTCCTATTCAACATAGTATTGGAATTTCTGGCCAGGGCAATCAGGCAAGAGAAAGAAATGAAGGGTATTCAAATAGGAAGAGAGGAAGTCAAATTTTTTCTGTTTGCAGATGACATGATTGTATATTTAGAAAACCCCATCGTCTCAGCCCCAAATCTCCTTAAGCTGATAAACAACTTCACCAAAGTCTCAGGACACAAAATCAATGTGCAAAAAATCACAAAAAGTCCTATATACAAATAATAGAGAAACAGAGAGCCAAATCATGAGTGAACTCCCATTCACAATTGCTACAAAGAGAATAAAATACCTAGGAATACAACTTACAAGGGGTGTGAAGGACCTCTTCAAGGAGAACTACAAACTACTGCTCAAGGAAATAAGAGAGGATACAAACAAAAGGAAAAATATTCCATGCTTATGGATAAGAAGAATCAATATCGTGAAAACGGCCATACTGCCCAAAGTAATTTATAGATTCAATGCTACCCCCATCAAGCTACCATTGACTTTCTTCACAGAATTAGAAAAAATACTTTAAATTTCATATGGAACCAAAAAAGAGCCCACATAGCCAAGACAATCCTAAGCAAAAAGAACAAAGCTGGAGGCATCATGCTACCTGACTTCAAACTATAGTACAAGGCTACAGTAACCAAAACAGCATGGTACTGGTACCAAAGCAGATACATAGACCAATGGAACAGAACAGAGGCCTCAGAAATAACACCACACATCTACAACCATCTGATCTTTGACAAACCTAACAAAAACAAGCAATGGGGAAAGGATTCCCTATTTAATAAATGGTGTTGGGAAAACTGTCTAGCCACGTGCAGAAAACTGAAACTGGACTCCTTCCTTATACCTTATACAAAAATTAACTCAAGATGGATTAAAGACTTAAACATAAGACCTAAAACCAGTAAAGCCCTAGAAGAAAACCTAGGCAATACCATTCAGGACATAGGCATGGGCAAAGACTTCATGACTAAAACACCAAAAGCAATGGCAACAAAAGCCAAAATTGACAAATGGGATCTAATTAAACTAAAGAGCTTCTGCACAAAAAAAGAAACTATTATCAGAGTGAACAGGCAACCTACATGGGAGAAAATTTTTGCAATCTATCCATCTGACAAAGGGCTAATATCCAGAATCTACAAGGAACTTAAACAAATTTATAAGAAAAAAACAACCCCATCAAAAAGTGGGCAAAGGATATGAACAGACACTTCTCAAAAGAAGATATTTATGCAGCCAACAAACATGAAATAAAGCTCATCATCACTGGTCATTAGAGAAATGCAAATCAAAACCACAGTGAGATTCCATCTCATGCCAGTTAGAATGGCATTCATTAAAAAGTCAGGAAACAACAGATGCTGGAGAGGATGTGGAGAAATGGGAACACTTTTACACTGTTGGTGGGAGTGTAAATTAGTTTAACCATTGTGGAAGACAGTGTGGCAATTCCTTAAGGATCTAGAACCGGTAATACCATTTGACCCAGCAATCCCATTACTGGGTATATACCCAAAGGATTATAAATCATTCTACTATAAAGACACATGCACACGTATGTTTATTACACACTATTCACAATAGCAAAGACTTGGAACCAACCCAAATGCCCATCAATGTTAGACTGGATAAAGCAAATGTGGCACATATACACCATGGAATACTATGCAGCCGTAAAAAGGGATGAGCTCATGTTCTTGCAGGGACTTGGATGAAGCTGGAAACCATCATTCTCAGCAAACTAACACAGGAACAGAAAACCATACGCCACATGTTCTCACTCATAAGTGGGAGCTGAACAATGAGAACACATGGACAGGGAGGGGAACATCACACACCGGGCATGTTGTGGGGTGGGGCAATAAGGGAGGGATAGCATTAGGGGAAATACCTAATGTAGGTGATGTGTTGATGGGTGCAGCAAACCACCATGACATGTGTCTACTCATATAAGAAACCTGCACGTTCTGCACATGTATCCCAGAACTTAAAGTATAATAAAGTGAAAAAAAAAAAAAAGAGAGAGAGAGAGAAGAAATGAAGGCCTAAGGACTGCAGAGGAGAAAGAGCCAGCGATAGAACCTGAAAAGCTGGATTAGTGAGTGGCATGCTGGGAAAAGTAGGAGATCATGGTGTCATGGAAGCCAGAAAGATGAGAATTGATATCTATGGCAAATGCTGCTGAGTTATCATTGGCTTTGGCAAAATGAAAATCACTGTTGGTTTGTCTGAGGGCACCCAGGTAGAACGTGCTTAAAGTATTTGTGATCTTCTTTTCCCCTCTACAAAAAACAGAAGTCTGGATTCTGATTTTGAGGACTTCTTTTACATGTTAGTTGTATATCAATTATAAGGCTGACCCATATCATTGGAATATTGGATTAAATAAGGTTTTATATTAGCTTGCTTTTGATATCTTTTATCAGTTGAAGTTTTATCTACATTGTCTTATAACAACATCTGTTTTTTTTCTTTTTTTTTCTAAATAGGAAAAGAACCAAAATTACCACGTCCCTTTAAAGAAAAGAGAAACCAGGGCAAAAGTAAG